>NC_000012.12:109884370-110035885 GCF_000001405.40 Homo sapiens | reverse complement strand
TCAAGGGTAGTGATGTGATCGTAGCTCACTGCAGCCTTGACCCCAGGGCACAAGAAATCCTCCCACCTAAGCCTCCTGACTAGTTGGGAATACAGGTGCACACCACCATACTTGGCTTTTAAAATTTTTTGGTAGAGGCTAGGCATGGTGGCTCACACCTCTAATCCCAGCACTTTGGGAGGGCAAGGCTGGTGGATCACTTGAGGTCTGGAGTTTGGGATCAGCCTGGACAACATGGTAAAACCCCGTCTCTACTAAAAACACAAAAACTAGCTGGGTCTGGTGGTGCGCACCTGTAATCCCAGCTACTCGGGAGGGTGAGGCATGAGAATCACTTGAACCTGGGAGGCAGAGGCTGCAGTGAGCCAATATTGTGCCCCTGCACTGCAGCCTGAGCAAAAGAGTGAGACTCTGCCTCAAAAATTAAAAAAAAAAAAAAATTTGGTAGATATAGGATCTCACTATGTTGCCCAGGCTGGTCTCAGACTCCTGGGCTCAATCAGTCCTCCCATCTTGGCTTCCCAAAGTGCTGGGATTATAGGCATGAGCCACTGCACCCAGCCAGTAATTCTTCTAGGGCAAGATTAGAAGACACAATTCAATACTGGTAGTCTTTGACTTTGGCTACTTCCCTTGTTAAAACTTATGGTCAACAAGGTTTATGAAGCTACTTGGGAGCTGGCGGGGGGAGCTAAGCTCACTTACATAGGGAAAGGAAAAGCATACCAGGCTGATGGTGATGTGCAGGGGTCTTCTCCCAGGATGCCTCCCAAAGGGAACATGCTTGCTTTGGGGTCTGGCTCGGAAAACTGAATGGGTCTGGGAATGGGGCCATGGTGGTGGCAGGGGGAAGTGGAGGAGGTAGACTCACATTACACAAGCACTAAGACTCAGGAATAGAACCAGAAAGCTATAAGCTTGAACCAGTGAGGACGCTGGAGTGTGAGCACTGTTCTCAAAGCAGCAGCCCTGTGAGGGCAGGGGCTGCTTCCCAGAGAATTCCCAGCACCTGGCACAGAGCCTGGCACAAAGAAGGTACTCTGCAAATATCTGAATGAAGAATGGAAGAAAAAGCCAATTAACAAATAAATGGACTGCAGGAACCCAGGACACACCAGAGGGTGCTGGAGGCAGACCAGACCCTACCCTAGTAGAGCCAGGAGGCACAGAAGGAAGGAGATGGAAGGAGTTGATGTTAGGGGAGGAGGACCTCAAGCCTTGGACTGTCCCAGGTAGGTGAGGCATGGAGGGAGAACCAGATATGACAATAAAAGGCAACTGTTCTACTGGGCACAGTGGTGCATGACTTTAGTCCCAGCTACTTGGGAGGCTGAGGTGGGAGGATCTCTTGAACCCAGGAGTTTGAGGGTGCAATATGATCATGCCGGGGAACAGCCACTGCACTCCGACTTGGGCAACATAGAGTCACACACACACACACAAAGCCTACTGCTTACACAGGTCTGTCCTGTCCTTCATTTTCTGTTTCACTAGAGACCCAGAGAGAGTTTAGGGAGATGGTACCCTTTGTGGAGGAAGTGGGATTCAAATCCACTTCACTACCTTCATCCGAGACTACTGACACACAGGTAATCCTTCAGGAAAAATATGATACTGCTTCAGTGCTAGAAAATGATGAAGCACATCTCAAAAAGTACAGAATTACAAGCTATGTGCGTGAATATGAGGAAAAGGAAAGTCTGCCTGAAGACATCTTGTGAATGGTGCTGACTGGGATTATGTAGATGGTCTCTTACATAACAAGCTTTTGTAAGAAGACCAGATGCACAAAGTATAACCTATGCAAATACCATGAATGTGTCAAACTTGATATTTAGAATAAATCTTTCAGATTAGCCAAACACTGAGGCTAACCCAGAGGGTAAGACCTCCCACGCCCTGCCATTAGAGTATTCTGATAAACACACCTGGCTCCTGCTGGACTCCAGCAGACTTTGCTGGATGGCAAACTGCATTATCTCGTAATCTTCATCTTGCAAATGCACATTTCTGCCATTGTCTTGAACATAGTAAGATTCGGGAATTTCAAACACAGATTGATCAACCTCAAAGTTTGTGATGTGGGAAGCTGAAACAAAAGGCAACCGTCCAGTGTCTGAGTTCATTACATTTCCACTCCAACTTTTTGCAAAAATGTTGTACATTAGAAAAAAAAGAAAGGCTCAAAATTATAACAATCAAGGCTTACTATTATATGAGAGATTCTGAGGAAGCATGACAGAAAAAAGTGACAGAATACAGCTTTTTTCTTTTTCCTTGATTTTAGTGGAAACAACGAACACAGTCATAAAAAAATACACAAGACTATAAAATGAAAAGCGCAGATTTCTCCCCCTAAACATATACGCACAGTCACACCAATGTGTTTCTTCCTTTTGCAGGAAGATATATGGTAAATATATAAAAGTATATATAAAATATCTGAACACTTAAAAATGATAATAATTAAACAAATGCCTGTGTGCCCTTCACCTAGCCTAAGACACAGAACACTATCAATAACTGCCGGGCGCGGTGGCTCACGCCTGTAGTCCCAGCACTTTGGGAGGCTGAGGCAGGCAGATCACAAGGTCAGGAGATCGAGACCATCTTGGCTAACATGGTGAAACCCCGTCTCTACTAAAAATACAAAAAAAAAAAAAAATTAGCCGGGCGTGGTGGCGGGCACCTGTAGTCCCAGCTACTCGGGAGGCTGAGGCAGGAGAATGGCATGAACCCGGGAGGCGGAGCTTGCAGTGAGCCAAGATCGCACCACTGCACTCCAGCCTGGGTGACAGAGTAAGACTGTCTCAAAAAAAAAAAAAAAAAAGAAAAAGAAAAAAACACTATCAATACCATACTGCGGGCACATCCCTTGTTAACAATATTCCCTTCTTCCTCTCCAGAGGTAAATACATAATTCAGAATAGTTGTTTACACTGCCTAGCTCTTCTCTGGAGCTTGCCACATGTATATCATCCTAATAGTTTGTATTAGCCTGTTTGTGAACTCGACATAAATGGAATCATGCGGAATTTATTCTTCAAATTGGATTTTCTTCATTCAACATTATGCTTTTGAAATTCAACAGTTTTGACGCACATAGCTATAAATTTTTATTTTCAATACTATATGTTATTCTGTTGTATTAATAGAGCACAATAGCGCATTCTACCATCTCGGGACATTTGGGTCGTTTCCAGGTTTCTGCTGTTATGAATGGATGCTGCTGCCCAGTACTGGGGTCTCCAGATGCTCATGTGCATAACTTTCTTTAGGGTACACATCTAGGAATTGCTAGGTCATCCACATCTTCAGTTTATACAGTAATGCCGAATGTTTTATTCAAGGAACTATACCAATCTCCTCTTCCAGCCAAGAGTGCACGAGTGTTCCTTAGCTGCACAACCTCATGAACACATCTCACCCAACTTTGTTGCTACATGGGAATGTAAAGGTGTATATTATTGTCGAGTTCAATTGTTTTTATTTGAAGTCTTAATTTATATACATTAAAATGCTATCTTTTAATTCCTCCTACTGGTAGACTACAGGGGAGAAACATAGGACCATCATGATAGTTGCAGAAAACACATCTCACAAAAATCAATACTTAAAAATGGTAATAACTCTCAGCAAACTAGAAATATAAGAGAATAATGTCCTCCAACTAATAAGGGACATTTATAAAAAACCTACACAGCTAACATCATACCTAATGGCACAACAATCCTTCCTCCCCTAGAACCAGGAACAAGACAAGGACAGCCATTCCTACCACTCTTACTCAACATTGTACTAGATGTCCTAGCCAGTCCAGTAAGTCAAGAAAAAGAAATGAAAAGCTTAAAGATTAGAAAGGAAAAAGTAAAATTTTCTTTATTAATAGACAACATGACCATATATGTAAGAAATTCTAAGAAATCTACAAAAAAGTGTAAGACAAGTAAATTCAGCCATGTTACAAGATAAACAAGGTCAATCCTGGCCATGCAATTGTGTAAGAAAAAAAAAAGATAAAAAATTTTTAAAAACGATTCAAGGTCAAAATACAAAACTCAATTATATTTCTATATACTAGTAACTGGAAATGAAATTAAGAAAATAAGTCCATTTACAATTGCATCTAAAATCATGAATTGTATTGATGGCAAAGGAGTGTAAGGAAATTTGGGGGCATATGGAAATGCTGTCTACCTTGACTATGGTGGTGGTTACACAGATGCATACATTTGTCAAAATGTGGCTGGGTATGGTGGCTCACACTAGCACTTTGGGAGGCCGAGCTGGGTGGATCACTTGAGGTCAGGAGTTCCAGACCAGCCTAGCCAACATGGTGAAACCCAGTCTCTAATAAAAATACAAAAATCAGCCAGGCATGGTGGCACGCACCTGTATTCCCAGCTACTTGGGAGACTAGGCAAGAAAATCGCTTGAGCCTGGGAGGCAGAGGCTGCAGTGAGCAGAGATTGTGCCACTGCATGCCAGCCTAGGTGACAGAGTGAGACTCTGAGAAAAAAAAAAAAAATGCACTGAACCATCACACTTAAAATGAGAGCATTTTATTGTATGTACATTACACCTCAATAAAGCTGATTTTTAAGAACATCCTTTCTTTTTAATATAACTAGGATCATATATATTCTACAAGTTTTTTTTTGCTTAATCTAAACTAAATCTGAAATTTTCTTTCATCCAACACAGACATCTACTCCCTCAGATATTCCAGCTTCAGAGTGAATTATGAATATGATGACTGAATTATAATTTTTTTTTTTTGAGATGTAGTTTTGCTCTTGTTGCCCAGGCTGGAGTGCAATGGTACAATCTCGGCTCACAGCAACCTCCATCCCCCCGCCTCTCCCCCAGTTCAAGCGATTCTCCTGCCTCAGCCTCTCGAGTAGCTGGGATTACAGGCATGCGCCACCACACCCGGCTAATTTTTGTATTATTAGTAGAGACAGGGTTTCTCCATGTTGGTCAGGCTGGTCTCAAACTCCCGACCTCAGGTGATCCACCCACCTCGGCCTCCCAAAGTGCTGGGATTACAGGCATAAGCCACCACGTCCGGCCATAAATTTTTTTTTAAATAACAAAACTAAACTTTGTATTTATTTATTTTTTTACCTGAATCAGCCTGGGTCCCTTCCACATTTTGAGATACAGATTCTTCGGCAGTGCTACAGCCATTAACATTTCCAAATGTAATCCGTGCATTTAAGACATGAAACAAGGGAATTTCTAACAAACAAAATAAAAACTTTTATAAGTAAACTTTACTGAGAATAACAATAATAGTTATCATTTACTAAGTGCTTACTATGCCAAGTACTTTGATAAGTATAATTTTATTTAAGCCTCATAACAACCCTTCCCAATACACAGACGGGAAAACTGAGATTGAGAGTTGTGTATTTTCGGTCAGGCGCGGTGGCTTACACCTGTAATCCCAGCACTTTGGGAGGCCAAGGCGAGCTGATCACCTGAGGTCAGGAGTTCGAGACCAGCCTAACCAACATGATAAAACCCCATCTCTACTAAAAATACAAAAATTAGCTGGGCGTGGTGATGCATGCCTATAATCCCAGCTACTTAGGAGGCTGAGGCAGGAAAATCGCTTGAACCCAGGAGGCAGAGGTTGCAGTGAGCCAAGATCATGCCACTTCATTCCAGCCTGGGCAACAGAGCGAGACTCCATCTCAAAAAAAAAAAAGAGAAAATGAGTTATGTATTTTCTCCTAGATCACAGTGAGTAAGTGATCAAGCCAGGGTTCAAGTATCATGAACATACAACTATCCAAAATTAATACTCTTCATGAGTAGTATGTATGATATATACATATATAGCATTATGCATACTAGCTTGGGACGTAGATCATATTTACATATCAAAGGATCTTGGTGTCAACTGTCTTCCTCAAATAATTATCTAATTTGAAGTCTCACTGAATTAAGGTTTGACATTAAAACAATGACTGTGTCATGTTTTTATGCCTTTTTATATCTGTCAGCACCATTTGCAAATAGAAATGATGGTTGGAGATCTCTTGACTTTGATACACAAAATGAACCACTAATCATAACACTTCTTTAAATCAAACCACAGGAGAACTCTGACCTCCTCTGTTATGTCTATAAGCTACTTTGACCTAAAGCACTCCAATTCCCTGAAGCATCCTGCCACCCACATGCTGCCACCCACAAACATGGGCAGAACCTCCAAGTGTTGCTGAAGTTTATTTAGCAGTACCTATTTTGACAGGAAATCCAGGTGGGAATTCCAATTTGATGAAATCTCTCAGTCTTGCAAAATGAGCACTCGTTCGAGCCATTAGGTCAATGATGGGAATGACCTGCTCCACCAGAGAGAGGGGAAACTCTTCACACATCCACAACATTGCTTTAAACCTGCAGAATTCAACCAAGAAAAGACTGAGGTCATCTCCACCAGATGGGAAAAGGAGATTATTGCTATGCAGTAGGCTAGACAACAGCAGCTTTACTCCACACTCTGCCCAGTCATCTCTTAATTCAGACCTATTAAAGGTCAAATGTCTAGGGCCACAAGGAATTCACATCACCCTAAAATCTGGCAATAAAGGCAAGCGACCTGCATGACAACCTGCCACGATCAAAGCCTTAATTGACAGCAAGCATGAAGAAATGATAGCGGGTGGAACAGTTTCATTTGAATTTGATCAGCTGAAGCTGGTTAGCAATAAAAAAAAAAAGGAATTCTTACATCCAATCTAGATTCTATTTGGAAAGGAGCTAATAACATGGACAATCTACTGTTAGCTTTCATGGCAAAGTAATTTTAAAATTATTTTTTATAAAAAGGGGCAGAGGAGGCTGGGCGCAGTGGCTCATGCCTGTAATCCCAGCAGTTTGGGAGGCCCAGGCGGGCGGATCACAAGGTCAGGAGTTCGAGACCAGCCTGACCAATATGGTGAAACCCTATCTCTACTAAAAATACAAAAATTAGCTGGGCGTGGTGGCACGCGCCTGTAGTCCCAGCTACTCAGGAGGCTGAGGCAGGAGAACCGCTTGAACCTGGGAGGCAGAGGTTGCAGTGAGCCGAGTTCGTGCCACTGCACTCCAGCCTAGGCGACAGAGCGAGACTCCGTCTGAAAAAAAAATAAGGGTGGTGGGGAGGGCAGTGGAATGATCCAACATAACACCATAAAACAGCACAATTTCTGAAACATACATAGGTTGAAAATGGCAGCTGAACCTCTCTTACTTCTGTGTTCTAATCGTCAGCTCTTTCGGCCTTCCAATGTCCCTGTCTTTCAGATCAAACTCTTCATTGAAGTACTCATCAGGCGTGATGGCTGTGGGGTTGTTTGCAGTAGCACATTCCGTGGTGAGGTCCTGCTGAGCCAGAACTCAGGAGAGTCAGAAATGCCAAATGATGTTCACAAGTGAAGGCCTGTGGCACTCAGTGTCTGAGGTGGACGTGTTAACCAGCTAAAGACCGGGAAGTTCTATTCACTAACTTTTTTGCATGGAACAAGAAAATCTATGAGGATATCACCAAACTACACAGGAAGTGTAATGGATTTCTTCATTTTAAAATATTTCTCTACTCTCCTTTACATTTTTATCTCCTGATTATAACAAAGAAAAAAAGAAAGAAATATCTGAAAGTGCATGAGACTTGGAAGACTTGGAGTTGAAGTTCTAGCTGTTTCCCTGTCTAGCTTTGATAGTGGAAAGGTAATTTCATTTTTCTGACCCGCAGGGACATCCACTGTACCAAGTTCATATAGTTACTGTGAGCATCAAGTAAGAAAATATTTGTTAAGGTGCTCTGTTGCAATATAAAGTCCTGAATCCTTTTTAAGTTCCATTTCTATAAAGAGGCCCCTCGTTTATAATGGATAAGAGGGAAAGCACCTGATTTCTATAATCACTACCCCTCCTCTAAAATCCTTATTTATTTTCAAAGAGTCACTCATCTAATTCTCTTCCAAAAGAGTATCTCAAATTCCAGCTTGGGGGTATCTTTGGCCTTTACATAGAGTGGGCTGTTCAGGATCCAGTAAATGCCATCCCAGACACAGACAAGTTGTTTCCTTTCATCTAACTGCAATGAAAGCTCATTGCTTCAACTTACCCCTTGTGCACCAAATTGGTGTTCCACAGTTCCCAGCAAAGATTCCAGCGGGTTCCTGTCTGCTACAGAGGGGTAGGGAGTTTAAAGTCTAATATTATATCTCACTTGTGGCTATAAAAAAAAGATCTTCATTAAAGTTTCTGGTCCAAGCTACCTCATTAGGAAATGCAATTACAGACTGGCTGATCAAATCATTCACAATAACCATAAACTAATTTATCCTTTATAGGGTGCTTTTCATGAGGATCTCTAAACTAGATAAACAGTTGTAAGAATTAAAGCAGAATAATGGGAAGAGTCTGGATTTTGGAGTGAGCCAGACCTGGATTCCAACCCCACCTTGGCCACTCGCTACCCATGTGTTCTGGGCCTCAGTTCCCTCATCTGTCAAAGTGGAGTAATGGCAATGGTGGTGGTGGTGCTGGTGAACAATTACTGCATGCTTACCACATACTGCAGGCGCCATTCTAAAGGCTTCCACGTCGTAACTCATCTAATCCTCTCAATAACTCTAAGGAAGGTTGGGTATCACCTGCATTTCACTGCTGAGGAACTAAGGCACAGAGCAGAAGTAATTTCACAAGGCCATAGAACTGGTGGGGCTGGGATGGGGCTGGGATGTGGCAACCACATGCAATGTTTTTGCTTGGACCCCAAGTTCTGTCTAAATCTTTCATCACAATAGTTTGGACTAAATCACTCATTCCAATGATAAATATTCTCAAATGTCCTTATCTCCTTTTTTGGCTGAATTCAACAATTGTTCTTGATAACACATAAACAAGCCCTCACGAATAGCTTTAATTACAGCTGAGGCCAACTATGGGGAAACACCTCCAAGAATGAGTCAGACTAAGGAAATTTTCTTTCCTTTTTCTTTTTTTTGAGACAGAGTCTAGCTCTGTCACCCAGGCTGGAGTGCAGTGGGACAATCTTGGCTCACAGCAACCTCCACCTCTGGGGTTCAAGCGATTCTCCTGCCTCAGCCTCCCCAGTAGCTGAGACTACAGGAGTGCGCCACCACGCCTGGTTAATTTTTGTATTTTTAGTAAAGATAGGGTTTCACCATATTGGCCAGGCTGGTCTCAAACTCCTGGCCTCAAGTGATCTGCCCACCTTGGCCTCCCAAAGTGTTGGGATTACAGGTGTGAGCCACCGTGCTCAGCCAGGAAATTTTTTTTTTTTTTTTGAGATGGAGTTTCACTCTTGTTGTCCAGGCTGGAGTGCAATGGCACGATCTCAGCTCACCAAAACCTCCGCCTGCCAGGTTCAAGTGATTCTCCTGCCTCAGCCTCCTGAGTAGCTGGGATTACAGCCATGGGCCACCACACCCAGCTAATTTTGTATTTTTTTTTAGCACAGATGGGGTTTCTCCATGTTGGTCAGGCTGGTCTTGAATTCCCGACCTCAGGTGACTCGCCCACATTGGCCTCCCAAAGTGTTGGGATTACAAGCATGAGCCACCGTGCCTGGCCAGAAATTTTTATAAAAAAGAAGTTAGGGGCCAGGCACGGTGGCTCACGCCTGTAATCTCAGCACTTTCGGAGGCCGAGGTGGGTGAGGATCACCTGATGTCAGGAGTTCGAGACCAGCCTGGCCAACATGGTGAAACCCCGTCTCTACTGAAAATACAAAAAATTAGCCGGGCGTGGTGGTGGGTGCTTGTAATCCCAGCTACTCAGGAGGCTGAGGCAGGAGAATCACTTGAACCCAGGAGGCAGAGGTTGCAGTGAGCCAAGGTCGTGCCACTGCACTCCAGCCTGGGTGACAGGGCGAGACTTTGCCTCAAAAAAAAAAAAAAAGAGAGAGAGAGAGAAGAAGTTAGGGTTAGGCTTAACACAACCCAATCACATTAACCCTAAACTTAACAGAGCCAACAAAGAGTTCCCTCTAGGCTTAAAAAATAACAACAAAACAGGAGGTGGGAGGGTGGTGGTGATTACCTTTATATCTCTTTTTTTCCTCCTCGGTCAGATGTTCTGTGCGTATTTTGGTGATCACATTCACATTGTTTACTGTGTAAACCTGAGAGGTGTATGCGAAAGAAAACAGTGACACAGGGAATCAAAACTCCAAAAGTAAGCACAGCAAAAGCAAGAATGCTGAAGCAAAAAACAGAAAACAATCCAGCAAAATAAAAATGAGAAATGGTTAACTATCATTAGGATCCTTCAGAGAAAGTATATAAACTATCAACTGAAAAATGCATCAGCAGTTACCTCCCATGTTTGACAGTTTTAATACTAAGGAGTTAGCAGTGACAGGCTGCATCTTCCTGCTTGCCCTGCTGTGGCTAAATAGTCTCAAACAAATGCCCTGCAATCTAGGTTTCCACCTGGGTTTCTATTAAACTAAGGTACCCAAACCAGGATCCTGTACTTCTGTTGGTAATTTTTTTTTTTTTTTTTTTTGAGACAGAGTCTCCCTCTGTTGCCCAGGCTGGAGTGCAGTGGCGTGATCTCTGCTCACTGCAGCCTCCGCCTCCTGGGTTCAAGCGATTCTCGTGCCTCAGCCTCCAGAGTAGCTGGGATTACAGGCATGTGCTACTATGACTGGTTAATTTTCGTATTTTTAGTAGAGACGGGGTTTCACCATGTTGGCCAGGCTGGTCTCAAAATCCTGGCCTCAAGTGATCTGCCTACTTGGGCCTCCCAAAGTGCTGGGATTACAGGCGTGAGCCACTGCACCCAGCCTCCGCTGGTAGTCTTGTAATACTAGTATGACTCAGACAGCCATCTGCTGGGCAGAAGAGAAAGGTATGAACACAAGGTTCTCTATAGACTTATGAGCTGTAGAGAAAACCAGCAAGTCACTATTTAAAAGGCATTCTGTGCACTGACAAAAATTATTGTAACTGCCAGAGCAAATGCTCTGTTATCAAGGATAACTGGGGAATATGGTGGTCTAGAAAATCAAACATAACAGTTAACAAAGAATTCTCTCTATATGCCACGTGAGGAGCCCCAACATTCAAAGCTGCAGAAAACACACTCAGCACTATGACAAGTGCTTCTAAATGTATCTTGCTGAGCATGACGTAAGCCTTTCTTTGCTCACTCAGAGGCCACCAGAGGACCCTGCAGCACTGGGCTCCAACACCAAAAGCCATCAATCCCTGTTGTACTGAGGGACTGAAAGGCCAGGAAACAGCTTTCCAGCTGACAAAATGCCAGATGACTGGATCAACAATCGTCTCCACTATTACAACTATGTTTTAAATGCACTGATGTCATGCAAATGGGCTGTGCGCCTGCTGATTACAATTAAGCTGATTTAACAAAAAAGAGACTCAAAAGCTACTACACAACATTTGAACACATGTGAAGTCTAATCCTTCCTCTTCCTTTTTTTTTTTTAAATAATTAAGGGAATGACTAGCTTGTCATTCCTACCAGAACAACTGGTACCTGTACTCATTTCTCTACCATATTGTTTCTCTTTAGCATAGCTACAGACCTCCTCAGGGCATGCTATCCCATTTTCTGAAAGTCAAATAAGACAAAATCAAACATCCAAGTGAGAGACACATTAGACAGTTCTCATTCCCCAGAGCATCTCCATGGCACAGATGCATGAAAAAAATGGGAACAGATTCCTCATTTGCATAGAAGCTAAATAGCTATATTAAATCTTATTTTAAGAGTTTCCTTTTACCTTTGCTTCGTAACCATTAACAACTTCTGCTTTATCTGTCCTCCAGCCCCAGAATCCGGATTTAGTTCTGATAAAAAGTGAACACCACAAATTTCTACATGTACAATATGCCATTCAGATTTATATCTGTAGCCTTTATAGTTTTTTTCCCCCCCAGCTTAAGTTAGTGAAGGACACTTGGAAATCATGGTCCTATTGTCCACAGGAGGCGGTTAGCAATGACAGATGGCTTATGCACCCTCCACCCTCCTCCCACAGTTATTAATCAATTTGCCTCACCCCAGGCATAGAAAGCCTCCAATCTTGGCTTCTTTACAAAACTGCCAGCATTGAGGACAAAGGTGGTGACATTTATTGGACAGCAGTCCCAAAGAAGTGACTGAAGATGACCAGCATCCAAGGGCTTGCCACAAGGTGGTAACCAGGTCAGAGCATTTATCTGGGTCATCTTAACTGGGGACATGCATGTCAATGGTGGGATCTCCACAAGTAGCCACATCTCACTCGAGGAATTCTTAGAACAATGAGGCACAGACCATCCTGCTCCTTACAAAAGAGCAGGTGGGCCAGGAACTCATCACTGTGGTGAGCTGCTTGGAGATGCCATTAGGTCTGCAAAATAGCTGAGTCACATGTTTGGGCAGGTTTGGTGCAGCAGGGCAAAGGATGTGAAAAACAGATTTTTTTAGCCCAGCTGTTAATTCCATCTCTGTGGAACTCCTTTTAAAGTAGCCCAGCATTCCAGTGGCAGATGCAGCATTGGTAATATGCCCAAAATCTCAGTTATTCAACTCAACATACTCCTGAAAAAAAATGTATTTAGGAACCAAAAGCAGCCAGGAGGCTCTGATTCTTTTTCAAAGCAGCTTGCCCTGGGAAACGCTCCCTCTCACAGGGGATCCCTGACCAGCCCTACCCTTTGTCTAGGACATCACATCCCAGCTCCTCTTGGCCCTGGCTACGGCAACAGCCTGACTTCTGCTCTGACCACTGAGTGGTTGGGATGTCATGCAGGAAGCTCAGGGAACAGCAGCAGGTTAGCCACGTTACAAAGAACATATGCGGTTATTAGCATTTTGTTTCCAAATAGTTTGCTTTTCTTCTAATGGGATTTGGTCAATGAAATTAGTCCAGATGGTATAATGAGTTTATGTGTCTATTTTAGCCCATCAGAACAGGAGGGATCAGAGCTCCCATTTTCCTACTAGTTGTCTACAATTAGGACAGCACAACCCGTGGATGGAAACAGAGGAATCCTAAAAGTATTATACCAAATGCTATCTCCAACTGACACTTCAGAAACAAGATAACAGTCACAGGGGCAGAAGGTAAGGAACCAGACTCAACTGATTAATAAGCTACAATCCCCTTTTATCATTAATACCAGAAAATCGAGATAGCCTTTTTCCTTCAATCCTCAGTTCCTTGTTTGCTTAAGTCACTTGATGTCTTGCCACAGGAAGTCACTGTTTTCTGGCACAGACTCTTCTGATGGATGGAAAGATGATTACGTCTGCTCCACCTCACCCTTCATGCACGCTGGGAAGACGGCGCTATGCTTTTCTCCCAAGGAACCACCAAGCTCCTCACCGGGCTACCTCTGCTCCTTCGGCAATCCTGCCTCTACTGCCCTAAGCATTTGCACTCTTTTTTTTTTTTTTTTTGAGATGGACTCTTACACTGTCACCCAGGCTGGAGTGCAGTGGTGCAATCTCAGCTCACCGAAAGCTCCGCCTCCTGGGTTCACGCCATTCTCCTGCCTCAGCCTTCCAAGTAGCTGGGACTACAGGCGCCCGCCACCACGTCTGGCTAATTTTTTATATTTTTAGTAGATATGGGGTTTCACCGTGTTAGCCAGGATGGTCTCGATCTCCCGACCTCGTGATCCACCCGCCTCAGCCTCCCAAAGTGCTGGAATTACAGGCGTGAGCCAGCACGCCCAGCTCAGCATTTCCACTCTTGGAAGCAGTTTAGTTATTCAACCCAATGTTCATACCCTGTTTTAAATTTTAATTTCCTAATAACTCTGTGGCCCTTGGTAACTTTGCATGCAAAAGCATCCGAAGATGATAGAACACCTGGCTTCCCTCTCGTGCCATTTTCACCTCTGCCTGTCTCCACTGAGACCACACCAAAGGCCACTTCACAGGCACTGTGTCTTGGTGGTTGCTACACAATCAGGAGAAAGGCTATGAAGGTGGCAGGGAATATTTTGTTTGAGGTGGGCAAAGCATAATCTTTCAGAAAAGGGAAAAATTCAAACTGCAACCACAGTGTATATACTGCAGGCCAAAAATTCATCAGGGCAGGGTATTAATTTGCACACATAAGCTCTGAGTAACGGATTAGAAAAAAGTGGAAAAGTGACCATCAAAAAATGAGAGAGGGGGCTGGGTGCCGTGGCTCATGCCTGTAATCCCAGAACTTTGGGAGGCCAAAGTAGGCAGATCACCTGAGGCCAGGAATTCAAGACCAGCCTGGCCAACGTGGTGAAACCCCGCCTCTACAAAAATACAAAAATTAGCTGGGCATGATGGAGGGTGCCTATAATCCCAGCTCCTCGGGAGGCTAAAGTGGGAGAATTGCTTGAACCCGGTAGGCGGAGGTTGCAGTGAGCCAAGATCGTGCCATTGCACTCCAGCCTGGGCGACAGAGCGAGACTCCATCTCAAAAAAAAAAAAAAAAAAGAAAGAAAAAAGAAAAGAAAGAAAGAAAAGAAAATGAGAGAAGGCCACACCTTCCAAATTCAATCAAATGAATACTCACACCTCTGATCAGAAGTAAATTCACACACTTTTTATACCAACAAACCTCACATTCAAGAGCAGCTATATTCTTTTCGTAGCTGGTATCAATCCTAAGGAGTGGCTCAATTCTTGCTCAATGCACGACAAGCACACATTTAATTCTGAGCACCATTAAAACAAAGCAGCTGTCTTCCAAAAATTCTCTCTCAGCTACACACTGTCAGTTGCAAAAGAGTTAGCTTGAGAACTCTGAAAACCCTGTGGGCACAAAAATACAAAATGTGCCTTAGTCCTCGGTACAAATGGAATATGCTATCATTTCCCATTTATACTCAGTGGGGTAACAGCCAGGAATTGTCACCCTCTCTTCACAAATCGCACTTCAACAAACAATGACTCTGGCAACTCTACTGTTGAACAATATGGGGAACAATGTCTCTTCTCAAGACATCTTAAGAGTCACAGACTTTGGAGATTTCATCTCCAGATTCACTCAATTATTTCTTTCAGCTAAGGAAACAGAAAACTGGAGAGATGAGGCCACTTGCCCAAAGTCGCAGTTATTTAGGAGCCCTGCTGATGGCACTCAGTTCCTCCCCATCTCATCCCTACGGATGAACAGTGGCAGAAAAGGCAGCTTCCTCTGCCTTCTGGGGTTATGAACAGAGCCCTAAGCTGAAGGGGCCTCCCTGTCTGCAGAAGGGTATGCGGAAGCCTGGAAATGTCTTTCCAAGGCCCTCCCAGGGAAAGCCAGTCAGTCCCTAAATTTTGCTGTCCCTGAAAGACCATGAATGTCAACTGGCCAGGCCAGTGCAAGGAGGCTGGCAGAAGAGGACTGACCCTGCCTCCAGGGATGCCACCCTCCTGCCCTAGCAGCAGCCCTGGACACACTGGTTTCTTCTTCTATTACAAACAGATGTCCTAATTCCACAGCTCAATCTAAATTAGAAGAAAAGGATACTTAACAAGTTTTATGCTTGACTAAACACATTTATTAACCAATTTTATACTAGAAAGAAAAGAAAAATATAATGAGAGGACAGTTGTTATATTCATCAAGAGAAAAGAAGGCCTAAGTCCAGGATAATAGTGTCCATTTTCTCAGGGTAAGCTACTTAGGCTTGCAGAGAGCTGGATGTGGCATTCTAGACAAATACTATAAGGATAATAGCGTCCATTTTCTCAGGCTAAGCTACTTTGACTTGCAGAGAGCTGGATGTGACATCCTAGGCAAATACTATCAGGATGATAGTGTCCATTTTCTCAGGCTAAGCTACTTTGGCTTGCAGAAAGCTGGATGTGACATCCTAGGCAAATACTATCAGTGCTCTTAGGACTCCCTCGGATCAGTGGTCTCCACTGTAGAAACAAGCGAACAGCTTTGACAGCCTCTACTCAAAGGCCCCCCCATGCCCTCCATGTGGCCCAGAGGCACATGACCAGTGATGGTGTCCTCATCTGGATTAACCAAGGCACAGACCTCTCTGGAGAATTCTTTATGAGTCTGGAACAGAACTGAATCCCCTCCAGATTCTTGCTCTAAACTATTAAACCTCACAGGTGGGTTAAACAAACAAACAAACAAACAAACAAACATTTAACTATATAGTAAGTGTGAATCTGACTGACCAATATCAGTACAACTGAACTCAGTACTGGGTCAATTCTAACCTCCAGAAACTCCACGCTCTGTGGTCTGGGACTGAGTATTGTGGATCCATAAACACTAAGACAAAAATAGGATTCAAGTAAAATCCACTAGAAAGGGCACATAAAAGACATAAAAGAAAAGGAAGACATTTCTTCATACTCTTCATGTTGGTTAAGTCTTCTAAGACTTAACTGTAAAAATGATGGATGGTGTCGAGTGTCAGCTACAATTTCTACTGGTTAGAGATCAATCTTAAAACCCACTAGTGTTTATTATGTCATATTAGAAAAAGCCCAATCCATCCATAATTTACAATTAATACATACATGTCACTCAAGATGGCAGCATGGGGATTAGACATTAAAATTTAGAGTCTAAATTTGTACCTTTCAAAAGCAATATTTTTAGTATCGAGGCTGGTGTTAATGACAGGGCTTGTGAGCCGCCGCTCAACTTCCCTGCTTTTTGGCTTCATCAAGTCCAGAGTGAGGCGCTCCATTTCTTGGGAAAGGTCGAAGCGTTCGGTGGTGACCACTTTGTCATCATGGTTGACTTCCATTAACTCCGCCCAGTTGTCTATTAATGGAAACAAAGGCATAACTAAGTGCAAAGTAGGGAAGATGCAAAAACAAGGAAGCTTCGTATGTTAAAATGTATCATCTTTCATGTGTGTCCTCCCAGGTGCTATCTGGTAAAACCTACAGTGTACTGATTATCGACTACCTATTTGCACAGGGATTATCTGACCAGCTTTCCACAACACATAGGAAGCTCTGAGCCATCTTCCCCAAAGGTGCGGAATTTTTCTTAATAATCTGCATTCTTATTAGCAATATATTCCATCAATGTCCTTTATAAAATATATTATTACAGAATTCACAGAAATTATGTATGCACAACATTGGGTGAGCAATGCCATTTCTCATGCCTGATTATGGAGGGTTATACAGAGATACACACAGAAGGCCTGTGCTCAAAGGCTCAGGAAAGTGAAGCAGACACATCACAAGGGTAACTGCTGGGTGGTAAAGGACACATGAAGGAGAGCTAGCCAGACAAGAACGAAGACAGGGATGGAGAGCTGAATAATTAATAAGAATAACCAAAAAAACATGCCCTAGGAAGGATCAGACAGAAAAGTCACATGAATGTGAAAGCATTTTCTTGGTTAAAAATCACCCTGTAATTTTGCTTGAGCAGTGATTACTACAAGAGAAGTCACTCACCTTCTCCCTTAAATATAAAACTACGCCTCCCTCTTATCCAGCTCATGTTTTCAAATCCCAGCAATGTGATATCGACGCGCAGTTTGGCACCACTTTTCCAGATGCGACAGACATCATTTGGGCATATTCTAGAAACCAAGGGCACTGGAGGAGAGAAGTGTACTACTGAGAAAAACTCAAGGGCCAAGAAGAATACCTAGGCCAGGAAATCAGGATTCTGATTTAATAAAAGGAGGGGAGTGGCAAGATGGTGACCATCAAACAACGGACTTCTTGGCTTTCATATTTACCATACAGGAAATCACTCTTGAAAAATAAAAATGAACCTTCCATTCCATTCACCAGAAAAAAAGTCTAAATAAATTTCCCAAGAGTATTCTTGATCCTGAAATGAGCCCCAATTTATAGTGGGGTCTGTCCCCACTATATAAGGTCTGTACATCTGGCCTTCCTCACTCACATATGCAACTCTTGCCATATGGCTGTGGCCTACCATATTGTCATATCCACCATTCAGAGTATCAAATGTCTAAAGTATGCCACTTTTTTTTTTTTTTGAGACGGAGTCTCACCCTGTCGCCCAGGCTGGAGTGCAGTGGCGCAATCTTGGCTCACTGCAACCTCCGCCTCCCAGGTTCAAGCGATTCTCCTGCCTTAGCTTCCCGAGTAGCTGGGATTACAGGCACCCACCATCATGCCCGGCTAATTTTTGTATTTTTGTAGAGACGGGGTTTCACCATGTTGGCCAGGCTGGTCTTCAACTCCTGACCTAGGTGATCTTCCCACCTCAGCCTCCAAAAGTGCTGGGATTACAGGCATGAGCCACCGCATCCGGCCTAAGTATGCCACTTTTTAACAAAACCTGAAATAAGAGTGACTATGTGCATTAGAAAAAAATTTCATTTCTCAAAACAATCTGAAGTTCTATTCTTTTACGTACTTTTATGTCATTTAAACATTTCATACAAATATGACTTCTTGCCTGAAAGGGAAGTCTGGAAATGGAAACAGCTGAAACCCTGTAAGTTAGGAGTTATCGTTAATTTATCTACAAGAAATGAAAGTAGAACATCTATGGAAATATACTGTCAGTCAACTGCCTACGTAATACTTTAGAGAAATATATCCATTTTGTTAAAAAAAAATAAGCTATTCCAATATTCACCTCATCTTGTTTAGAATAACAAGTTTAAAAGAATCAAGCTAAACCACATAAGGAAATTAGTAAATTATGGTAAATCTACTTATTAAAATTCTAGCAATTTAAAGTGACATTTTGGGCTGGGTGCAGTGGCTCATGCCTGTAATCCCAGCAATTTGGGGGGCTGGGGCAGTTGGATCAGCTGAGGACAGGAGTTCGAGACCAGCCTGGCCAACATAATGAAACCCCATCTCTACTAAAAATACAAAAATTAGGCTGGGCATGGTAGCTCATGCCTGTAATCCCAGCACTTTGGGGGGCTAGGGTGGGTGGATCACCTGAGGTCAGGAGTTTGAGACCAGCCTGGCTAACATGGTGAAACCCCACTCTCTACTAAAAATACAAAGATTAGCTGGGCACAGTGGCGCGCACCTGTAATCCCAGCTACTCAGGAAGCTGAGGCATGAGAATCGCTTGAATCTGGGAGATGAGGATTACAGTGAGCCAAGGTCATGCCACTGCACTCCAGCCTGGACAACAGAGTGAGACTCTGTCTCAAAAAAATAAAAATAAAAATAAAATAAAAAATAAAAATAAAGTGACATTTTAAAACTAATAATATAGATGTCGGCTATAAATGACAAAAGGAGGAAATGAAATTGTCTATATACTACCTTCATGAATGCCTGGGAGGAAAAGTCCTATGCATGGCGGGGAAGACCGGATGAAAAACACCCAAAGCATTAACAGTTGTGTTTAACTGGGACTATCAGTGATTATTTTTCCTTATTCTTCACTATGTATTTCCTTGACTAAAAAAAAATACATGTAACTTTTACAAAGGAAAAATAAACCTACATGCGGGCTAAGTAAATTTAGAAAGAGAAATAAATAACGAGCCCACAGCCACTCACCCCAGCTGGTGAATTCCCATTTCATCTGCACATAGAAATCCGGAGCCTGAAGGGCAGACAAAGGTTTAAAACAGATTACCCTTGGCACTATCAACACAACATAAGCAGGGGTTAACAGGGTTCTTAAAAACCCTGGGTTAAAAAAAAAAAAAAGAGAAAATAAGAAGAAATAAAATGTAAGCCCCTAGCCGGGTGAGGTGGCTCATGCCAGTAATCCCAGCACTTTGGGAGGCTGAGGCGGGTGATCACTTGCGCTCAGGAGTTTGAGACCAGCCTGGGCAGCATGGCAAAACCCTGTCTCCACAAAAAATACAGAAAGTAGCTGGCTATGGTGGCTCGCTCTAGTCCTAGCTACTCAGGAGGCTGAGGTGGGAGGATTGCTTGAGGCCAGGAGGTGGAGGCTGCAGAGAGCCAAGATTGCACCACTGCACTCCAGCCTGGGCAACAGAGCGAGATACTGTATGGAAAAAAAAAAAAAAAGAAAGAAAAAACAAGTGTAAGCCCATTACTTATTTTATTAAATATTAGAGTGTTATTTTACCTTGATATAAAATATGTCTAGACATTAAGAAAGTGAACAGATGGCCGGGCACAGTGGCTCACTCATGCCTGTAATCCCAGCATTTTGGGAGGCCGAGGCGGGTGGATGAGTTAAGGTCAGGAGTTCGAGACCAGCCTGGCCAATATGGTGAAACCCCATCTCCACTATAAATACAAAAATTAGCTCGGCATGGTGGCACACGCCTGTAATCCTAGCTACTGGGGAGGCTGAGGCAGAAGAATTGCTTGAACCTGGGAGGCAGAGGTTGCCATGAGCCGAGATAGCACTATTCCAGCCTGGGCAACAGAGTGAGACCCCATCTCAAAAAATCAAGAAAGAAAGTGAACAGAAAGCAAGAGAATAAGAGGATTGGAGGGGGATAAAAGTCAAACCTGATTCAGGGTTCCAGTCAGGTTCCTAACAGTAAGAGAAAGATGAACCTGGGAAGATGGGCTTAAGCACTGCCAAGCAAATGTGGGTAACCACCTATTCTAGGCAAAGGGCAGGGAATGTCAATTCCATCCATTCAACGAGCAACTTGACTGTAAAAGGTTTGTGTGCTGGCAAGTGCTTCCTATTTATTGAACTACTCTGTGAAACCGAAAGAGGTTGCTAGACTCCACTTCCTCAGGAAGTTGATTTTCCCTCCAGTTAACATAACATTTTTCTCCACTTTCCTCTGAAACATGTAGAATTTGGCTTTCTGAAGTTTTAAACTACCACAGCAGCCCTGTTTAGGATTATTTTCTTACCTACCATTCCTGTAAGTTCCTAAAGATTCAGAAATCTAAAAGTTACCCTTCAAGAAGAGAAATGCGGCCGGGCGCACTGGCTCACGCCTGTAATCCCAGCACTTTGGGAGGCCGAGGCGGGCGGATCACGAGGTCAGGAGATCGAGACCATGGTGAAACCCCATCTCTACTAAAAATACAAAAAAAAAAATTAGCCGGGCGCGGTGGTGGGCGCCTGTAGTCCCAGCTACTCGGGAGGCTGAGGCAGGAGAATGGCGTGAACCCGGGAGGTGGAGCTTGCAGTGAACCAAGATCGCGCCACTGCACTCCAGCCTGGGCTACAGAGCGAGATTCCGTCTCAAAAAAAAAAAAGAAGAGAAATGCTAGAAATTCCAGGTGTTCTTCCTATTCCTACACACTTGCAAGGCTTTGCCATGATTTTTACCAAAGAACAGGGCAGGAGGGCCAAGAATCTACCCTGGAGTAAAATCTGCCAGCATTCCAATGATGAGCAAAGACAACCTCCAAGAAACAGGTGGTAAGAAAGGCTGATGTATGTTATAAGGAGATACTGTTGAAAGACAAGACATCAATGACAGCTTCTGGAGCCACTAAGTACGCAGGTCATTTACAGGCTCTCTATAACTTGAAGCAAAGAATACAATTCAGTGCAGTCCATCACAATGGACCAATATGAGTAAAAAAATTAAAATCCTTGACACTAATTTTTATTTTTATTTTTTATTTTTTGAGATGGAGTCTCGCTCTGTCACCCAGGCTGGAGTGCAGTGGTGCAATCTCGGCTCACTGCAAGCTCCGCCTCCCAGGTTCACAGCATTCTCCTGCCTCAGCCTCCTGAGTAGCTGGGACTACAGGCGCCCGCCACCACACCCGGCTAATTTTTTGTATTTTTAGTAGAGATGGGGTTTCACCGTGTTAGTCAGGATGGTCTCGGTCTCCTGACCTCGTGATCCACCCACCTCAGCCTCCCAAAGTGCTGGCATTATAGGCGTGAGCCACCACACCCAGCTGACTGTCTTATTTATAATAAAGTTGTTCCTTTTCTCGATAGAGCTATTAATTTTTCTCTATAAATGAATCAGGGCAATGGACTAAAGGTCTCGAAATACTAATAGCTGAAGTGACAAGCCTGGCAAGGAGAAGTTACACACAGACCTCTGAGCCTTAACAGAATCTGAAAATCCCTGCATAGTAAGTGATACCTATCACAACTTTCCTAAGATTACAGATGCTCAGGAGGCTACTTTCAAGAAAACAGGCACCTAAACAAATTAACTGTTTGATGTCCATTTTCCTTAAGTTCTAATTTTTACTTTATTATCATTTATTATTATATTATTATATTTATTATTATTTTAGGTCTTGCTCTGTCACCCAGACTGGAGTGCAGGGGTGCGATCACTGCACCCTCACTCAGGGGTGGCTCACTGCAGCCTCAACCTTCTGGGTTCAAGCGATCATCCTACCTCAGCCTCCCAAGTAGCTCAGACTACAGGTATGCACTACCATGCCCTGCTAATTTTTTTTTAGAGACAGAGTCTTGCTTTGTTTGTTGCCCAGGCTGGTCTCAAACTCCTGGGCTTCAGCAAATCCTCCTGCCTCAGCCTCCCAAAGTGGTGGGAATATAGGCATGAGCCACTACACCTGGCTCAATTATAATTTTTAAATAGTACTTAAAAGGGTAAGCCCAGTGACTTAGAAGTGTAATTTGTAAAAGAACTCACATTTCCACAAATTAGAAGGGCAAGGAATAATGTGATTGGTATTGAGTATTTCATATTCACGAATCAGAAAACTCTTTAGGAAGGCACACAAGGATGTCAAACTGTGTCTCCAGTAATTGTATCAGCATTTAGCTCAGATTATGGCCTGGCCACATTTTCATGGATACCTCGAGAATTTTTTGGAGCAGCTCAGGAACTCCCTCAAGGGCCATGGATGTGTTGTGGTAGTCTCGATGTTGGAGAACTGTGTACACCATCTCAGGATCGCCAGTGCTCACAGCCTCATGTAAAACTAGAAAACAAAAGGGTGAAATTTAATTCTCATACTTTCTGACAAATTCCAAAACCAGGCTGAAAAAGTATCTAGATCAAAGACCAGTATTTTCTTCAGAAGAAAAGGGCTGCAGTCCAACCTTACCAGGATGATCATGACTTCTGATTGCTAGCTCTTCACTGAGTAAAAAACATAGAGTACCCTTAGCACCTTGATCAAACCCCGTCCACCTCTCCCGACCCCTATTCTTACCACTGGTTGCGAAATCCTGATAATGTGTTTAGACAGTTGGCTTTAACTATACGATCACACAACATGTAACTGTGGTTATATGTAGACCTGGCAGGCAGGGCTTGGCCTACAGTATCCCTGCTCAGTCAACACAAAATTACTCTGGCCAATGGTAGAAGAGCTTACAAACAAGTGAAGTGACAGGATTTCCCAGGAAGAGGCTACTTTTAGCCACAATTTATTTTTGATTTTTGCCTATTTTGATGGATTCAATGGAGGTAACCATATTCCTCAGGGGAAAACTGGCCTCCACATTCGTGTATGGTGGAAGAAGTTTGCACTGAGAGCTGTTTCTGGATGAGGAGTCATTCTCTACCGAGGGTTTCTGGCCTGGGACGCAACCTGCATCATCCTGGGCTCCCATTTCCTTGTCCCCATCCCTTGTCCCAAGAGAGAAATCTTAAGATAAAGATGACTCCAAGGAAAAGTATGATTGAGACTGGCCTTTATTCAGAAACAGAAACTAAAATGAATGACCTTTTTTTTGAGAAAAGTTCTTGCTCTATTGCCCAGGGTGGAGTGCAGTGACGCAATCACAGTTCACTGCAGTGTCAACCTCCCCGGGCTCAGGTGATCCTACCCCCTCAGCCTCCTGAGTAGCTGGTACTACAGACATGCACCACCGCACCTGGCTAATTTTCATATTTTTTTGTAGAGACAGGGTTTCACCATGGTGCTCAGACGGACTTTAAATTATTGTAAAAGTATACTTACCTGTCCATCCCTGGCGATTTTCTTTTGTCACATCTGCTTTATGTCGGAGTAAGACTCGAGCAGATTCCAAATGTCCCAAGGAAACAGCAAGATGCAATAATGTTCGACCTCGTGGGTCCACAGCCTCCACATTCTGTGAAGGAAACACTGGCATTTACATAATTGGATGTATTACATTAAAATAGGGAAATGTGCTTGACAGATATTTCAAGTACAAAAAATAGAAAACATATTTATGCATTAATTAGAGCAACACATGTAAGAAGGTATGTTTGCATTTGGGCACAGTTAAAATATGAATTTGGGGATTATATATGAAGGTGATAGTTACTGAATTCCTTTTTCTATAAAGTTAAGTGCCTAATAAATAAATGTTGGCAACAGGCTCCAGATCATCCAACACAAGTTTAAGCTCTCAACAGCACTCAAATTAAGTCTAAATAAGGCCAGGAGCTTTCATGAAATGCAATCACCGGACAACACTGAACATGGGGGATTTCTCAAGCACATATCAGCATTCAAGTCTAGAATAGGAAGTATAGGACCTTAATCAAAACTGAAAGCACAGATAATTTGGGTCAGAATAAAATTACATTCTCTAGCTGGATTCCCACCAAAACACCACTCTCATTATTGTGTATTGAGTTCCACGTGCCTTGAAGTAGCACATAAACTCCAGCAGCATCTGTGGGTCCTTCAGACCGCAAGCATGATCTGCCGGGCACGTATGCGGATCTACTCACAAAGAAATAGGCAAGTGCACATGCGTCACTTCCATCCATCCCATCAAGGGTTTTCTTCCCCATGCTAGACATGCACACCTGGCTCTTACCTCTTCGTTCCTATTCTGCCACTCTCGCCCCCCTTTTGGCACCTGCACCGCGTGTCCAGAGCCACGCAGCAATTTCTCTAGTGTGAGCTAAGTCTCAATGCCTGGGCACTGCCTAAAAAATGTGACTCTGAAAGTTCTTCCAAGAATACAACAAACTGCCATGGACTTTTGGAAAGTACAACCTTTTTTTTTTTTTTCTTTTAAACAAGGTCTCACCCTGTCACCCAGGCTGGTATGCAGTGGCGTGATCACAGCTTACTGCAGCCTTGACCTCTTGGACTCAAGTGATCCTCCCATATCAGCCTCCCTAGTAGCTGGGATTAAAGGCATGAGCCACCATGCCCAGCCTGTAAAAACTTTTTAAATGCCATAATACATCTTAGAAAATGTGCTTTATTTTGATTTAAGATGCTAGCTGTTATTCAGGTACTAACTACCCCTGCAGTCTCTGAAGATACGCAGAAAGTGCCACTTAGGAAAGTGAAGCAGGAGCATGGGTAAACCACCACAATCCAATAGCTATCAAACCTCCCTGTTTTGCGAAAACTATGTCATGGCTATTATACAGTGAAGATAACTCTTATTGAGGAATAAGGGACGTGGTTGAAGACATCTGCTAGCTGAACATAAGTCCTCCTGGACCAATCCCAGGCCTCAGTGTTCCCCCGGTGCTAAAATACCTTCCTGTCTCCTGGAGCCCAGTCCACACACCTCCCATGATTCCCTGACTCTTCCCAAGGTTATGACTTGTCCATCGCACCAAAGAGATGGAGAATTCCAAAGGGTAGGATCCAAGTCATATTAATATCTTCTAGATTCTCTTACCTTAGTCTCTAACTTGCATTAAATATTTTTTTAAAAGTAACAAGACGATGAACTTATGAACTATAAATTCAGTTGAAGTTTAGCAGGAAAGAAATAATTAGCAAACTCATTATCTTCCTACACGTCTATTACATAAACTAAGTATTTTCTTACCTAACAAATTCAATCTAAATGAAAGGTGCTAGGTTTAGCATACTACCTGCCACAGGGGAGGTGTGTAAAAATGTTTATCATGGGAAAGGGGAAACTACTTACTACAATTCACACCCCAGAGCAAAACTAAAAGCGCAGAGTAAGGATTAACACTCAAACTCAGCCAGGCGCGGTGGCTCATGCCTGTAATCCCAGCACTTCGGGAGGCCGAGGTGGGTGGATCACCTGAGGTCAGGAGTTCGAGACCAACTTGACCAAAATGGTGAAACCCTATCTCTACTAAAAATACAAAAATTAGCCAGGCGAGGTGGTGAGTGCCTATATTGTCCCAGCTACTCGGGAAGCTGAGGCAGGAGAATCGCTTGAACCTGGGAGGCGGAGGTTGCAGTGAGCTGAGATTGTGCCATTGCATTCCAGCCTGGGTGACAGAGCGAGACTCCGTCTCAAAAACAAAACAAAACAAAACAACAAACAAAAAACACTCAAACTCCTGGGCAACAGTTAGAGATGATGTACAAAATAAAAGCCAAATACATTACGATGTTAACTTTTTTTCTACTTCGGACCACAGAGGAGCACCTATGGATAAGCCACAGAGCAGCACACATTTCTTGGATAATTGTAACTCTTCAGACCTTCCTGCATCTCTCTCATCTGAAGAGGCAGTCGAAAAAAAATGCTGTAATTGTATTATGATGACAGTGTGATTTTAAAACAATAAGTGCATAAAGAGTAGAGGGGGAATGAGTAAAATAGAGAAGAGAAAACAACAGAGAAAATCAACAAAACCAAAAGTTGGTTCTTGGAAAATGTCAACAACATTGACGAACATTTAGTTAGATAGACCAGGGAAAAAAGAGAGAAGACTTAACTTACTAAAATCAGGAATTAAAGATGGAATATTAGCAACTCTACAGAAATAAAAAGGATTATAAAAGAAAACTATGGGCCGGGTGCAGTGGCTCATGCCTGTAATCCCAACACTTTGAGAGGCCGAGGCGGGTGGATCACTAGAGGTCGGGAGTTCGAGACCAGCCTGACCAACATGGAGAAACCCCGTCTCTACTAAAAATACAAAATTAGCCGCGCGTGGTGGCACATGCCTGTAGCCCCAGCTACTCAGGAGGCTGAGGCAGGAGAATTGCTTGAACCCGGAAGGCGGAGGTTGTGGTGAGCCGAGATTGTGCCATTGCACTCCAGCCTGGGCAACAAGAGTAAAACTTCGTCTCAAAAAATAAAATAAAATAAAAGAAGACTATGAACAACTGTATGCCAACAAATTAGACAACTTAGATGAACAAGATAAATCCCTACAGAAATGCAAACTAGCAAAACTGACTCAAAAAGAAACCAAAAATCTGAATAAGTTTATAACAAGAGATTGAATTAGTAATTTTAAAACTGCCCACCAAAAAAAATGCAGGCCCAGATGGGTTTTTTTTCCAGACTGAGTCTCGCTCTGTCGCCCAGGCTGGAGTATAGTGGCACAATCTCAGCTCACTGCAACCTCCACCTCCCAGGTTCAAGTGATTCTTGTGCCTCAGCCTCCTGAGTAGCTGGGATTACAGGTGCCCACCACCACACCTGGCTAATTTATGTACTTTTAGTAAAATTGGGGTTTTGCCATGTTGGCCAGGCTGGTCTTGAACTCCTAACCTCATGTGATCTGCCCACCTCAGCCTCCCAAAGTGCTGGGATTACAGGCACGAGCCACCATGCCTGGACTTCACTGGTGAATGCTATTAAACATTTAAAGAATTAATACCAATGTTTCACAAACTTTTCCAATAAATAGATGAAGAAGGAAAACTTTCCAATTCATTTTATGAACCCACTATTATCCTGATGACAAATGCGTCACAAGAAAAGAAAACCACACACTAATATCTCTTATGATATAGATGCAAAAATCCTCCACGATATACTGGCAAACTAAATTCAGCAACATATAAAAAGGGTATTATACACTATGACCAACTGAGACTTATCCTACAAATATAAGAATGGTATAACTTCAGATAGTCAATTAACGTATTACACCATATCATAGGATAAAACAAAATACATGATCATCTCAACAGCTGCAGCAAAAACATCTGACAAAACTCCAACATCCCTTCATGATTAAAAGAAAAAAACCAAAACTCTCAACATACTAGGAATAAAAGGAAACTTCCTCAAAAAGCATCTCTAAAAAACCCACAACTAACATCATAGTTAATGGTGAAAGACTGGATGTTTCCCCTCTAAGATGAGGAACAAGATGAGGATGTCCTCTTTCACCATATCTAGTCAACATTGTACTAGAGATTCTAGTCATGGCAACTGGGCAAGAAAAATAAATAAAAAGCATCCAGAATGGAAAGGAAGATGACATGATCTTGTGTATAAAATCCTAAGGAATCCACCAAAAAACTATTAGAACTATTAAATGAGTTCAGCAAGGTTTCAGGACACAAGATCAATAACTAATCAATTATATTTCTACATACTTGTAATGAGCAACTCAAAAATGAAATTAAGACAACAATTCCATCTATAATAGCATCAAAAAATAAAACATTTAGGAATAAATATGACACAATAAATATAAAACTTACATACTCTTAAACCATAAAACATTGTTTAAAAAAAATTAAAGAAGAACTGGCCTGGTGTGGTGGCTCACACCTGTAATCCCAGCACTTGGGGAGGCTGAGGTGGGCGGATCACCTGAGGTCGGGAGTTCGAGACCAGCCTGACCAACATGGAGAAACCCCACCTCTACTAAAAATACAAAATTAGCCGGGCGTGGTGGCACATGTCTGTAATCCCAGCTACTTGGGAGGCTGAGGCAGGAGAATCGCTTGAACCTGGGAGACGGAGGTTGCAGTGAGCCAAGATTGTGCCATTGAACTCCAGCCTGGGCAACAATAGTAAAAACTCCATCTCAAAAAACAAACAAACAAAAAAAACCTCAAAAAATTAAAGAAGACCTAAATAAATTGAAAAACATCCTTATGCTCATGGTTTAAAAGACAATATTGTTAAAATGACAAAACTCTCCAAACTGAGGTATAGATTCAATTCAACTCCTATCAAAATCTCAGCTGGCTTTTTGCTGACATTGACAAGCTGATCTTAGAATTCATGTGGAAATGCAAGAAACCTAGAATAGCCACCTTGAAGAGAGAGGTCTGAGGACTCACATTTCACGCTTGCCAATTTTAAAACGTACTACACAAAGCTACAGCAATCAAGACAACGTGGTACTGGCATAAGGACAGACATACAGGTCAATGGAATACAATTTAGAGTCCAGAAATAAACCCACACATTTATGGTCAATTGATTTTCAACAAGGGTGCCAAAATAATTCATTGGGAAAGAACTGTCCTTTCAACAAGTGCCGCTTGAACAACTGCATATCTACATGCAAAAGAACAAAATTTTGGCTGAGCTCATTGGCTCATCCCTATAATCCCAGCACTTTGGGAGGCCAAGGCGGGAGGATCACCTGAGGTAGGGAGTTCGAGATCAGCCTGATCAACATGGAGAAACTCCATCTCTACTAAAAATACAAAATTAGCCAGGCATGGTGGCGCATGCCTGTAATCCCAGCTACTCGGGAGGCTGAGGCAGGAAAATTGCTTGAACCTGGGAGGCGGAGGTTGTGGTAAGCCGAGATCACACCATTGCACTCCAGCCTAGGCAACAAGAGCGAAACTCCATCTCAAAAAAAAAAAGACAACCCATGGAATGGGAGAAAATATTTGCAAATCACATACTGATAAGGGCCTACTATCCAGAATATGCAAAGAACCTTTACAACTCAACAAGTCAAATAACTCAATTTTTAAATGGGCAAAGGATTTGAGATGACATTTCTCCAAGGAAGATACACAAATTGCCAATAAGCACATGAAAAGATGCTCAACATCATTAATCATAAGAGAAATGCGAATCAAAACCACAATGAGATGCCACTTCACACCCACTAGGATGCGTACAAACAAAACAACAGATAATACCAAGTGTTGACAAGGATGTGAAGAAACTGGAATCTCATACACTGCTGGTGGAAATGTAAAATAGTGCAGCCACTTCGAAAAATTGCTGGCAGTTCCGCAAAAAGTTAAAACATAGAGTAACTACATGACCCAGCAATTCCTCTCCAAGGTATATACCCAAGATAAATGAAAACATATACCCATACAAAAACTTATACATGGGGCTGGGTGCAGTGGCTCATGCCTGTAATCCCAGAACTTTGGGAGGCCAAGGTGGGCTGATCACTTGAGGTCAGGAGTTCAAGACCAGCCTGGCCAACATGGTGAAACCCCATCTCTACTAAAAATACAAAAATTAGCCAGGCGTGGTGGTGCACACCTGTAATCCCAGCTACTAGGGAGGCTGAGACAGGAGAATCGCTTAAACCCAGGAGGCAGAGGTTGCAGAGAGCTGAGATCATGCCACTGCACTCCAGCCTGGGCAACAAAGCAAGCTGTCTCAAAAAAAAGGAAACCCACAAAAACATATACACAAATACACACAGCAGCGTTACTCATAATAGCCAAAAAGTGGCGACAACCCAAATGTCCATCAACTGACAAACGGAGAAACATTTTCGTCTAACAAACAAAACATAGTACATCCATGCAATGGAATATATTCAGTGATAAAAAGGAATTAAGCACCTGAAACATGCCACAACGTAGATGAACCTCCAAAACATTATGCTAAGTAAAAGAAGAAACAAAAGGCCACATATGATTCTATTTATATGAAATGTCCAGAATAGGCAAATCTAGAGACAGGAAGTAGGTTAGCAGGTTGCCTGGGCTGGAGGGGTTGGGGAGAAATGAGGAGTGACTACTACAGGTATGGGGTTTCTTTTTCGGGTGAGGAAAATATTACAGGGTGGGTGCAGTGGCTAACACCTGTAATCTTAGCACTTTGGCAGGCCAAGGCAGGAGGACTGCTTGAGCCCAGTCTGGGCAACATAGGGACACATTTTCTCTACAAAAAAATCTTTAAAAATTAGCCAAGCGTGGTAGTGCTTGCTTGCAGTCCTAGCTATTTGGGAGGCTGAGGTGGGAGGATTGCTTAAGCCGAGAAGGTCAAGGGTGCAGTGAGCTGTGATGGTGCCAGCCTAGGCAAGAGAGTGAGACCCTGTCTCAAAAACAACAAAAAAACAAAAAAGAAAGAAAAAGAAAAAAATTTCTGAAATTTGACAGTAGTGATAGTTGCATAACTCAGCAGATATACTAAAAACCATTGAATAACCTTTAAATGTAGATTATATAAGTGAACTATATCGCAATAAAAATCTTTTGAAAAAATCAATCTGTATATGTTTATACATAATACATAAAACGAATCTCTCATGTACTGTTTGACAAGTTGCTTAATTCCTCCTGAGCTTCAGTTTGCTCGCTTGTAAAACTGAACAATAAAAAAAACCTACCTTACAGTTCTTACAAGGGGAAAGTCCTTAACTTAGCACGGTGCTTGACACCACAGTAAGTGCTGAGAAGAGTTACCTGTTATTATCATACGCCCACACTATGTAGTTTCATATAGCTGTCACTTTCTCCCTAAAAGGGATTTGCTCAAATTGCATTACAGTTATTAGTGGGGCTTAGAATCTTCAACTAATAATATGAGTTCAGAGAACAAGGAGTTTCAGAATTTAGCTGGAATTCACTTTTTCTTTTGAGACAGAGTCTCCCTCTTGTTGCCCAGGCTGGAGTGCAATGGTGCAATCTTAGCTCACCGAGATCTTGGCTCACTGCAACCTCTGCCTCCCAGGTTCAAGCAATTCTCCTGCCTCAGCCTCCCGGGTAGCTGGGATTACAGGCATGCACCACCACGCCTGGCTAATTTTGTATTTTTAGTAGAGACGGGGTTTCTCTGTGTTGGTCAGGTTGGTCTCGAACTCCCGACCTCAGGTGATCCGCCCACCTCGGCCTCCCAAAGTGCTGGGATTACAGGCCTGAGCCACCACGCCCGGCTGGAATTCACTTTCGAAACTGATCATTTAGGTTTTCCTTTTAAGTTTCTTTAGCCATGAGCTATACCCAAATAAAAATACCCATCCTCCTTTAACTAGGAGTTTCCTTCCTATTTGCTCATTTCAGCTCATCCACTTTTCTTGCTCAAAAGCCTTAAAAAAAATTTATTTTTTTTTTGAGATGGAGTCTCATACTGTTGCCGGGCCTAGAGTGCAATGGTGCGATTTTGGCTCACTGCAACCTCCGCCTCCCAGGTTCAAGCGATTCTCCCACCTCAGCCTCCCAAGTAGCTGGGATTACAAGCACCCGCCACCATGCCCAGCTAATTTTTCATATTTTTAGCAAAGATGGGGTTTCACTATGTTGGCCAGGCTAGTCTTGAACTCCTGACCTCATGATCCACCTGCCTTGGCCTCCCAAAGAGCTGGGAGTACAGGCGTGAGCCACCGTGCCCAGCCAAAAAAAATTTTTTTTTAAGGAGACGGAGTCTTACTATATTGGCCAGGCTGGTCTTGAACTCCTGTCCTCAAGCACTGACCCCACCTCAGCCTCCTCAATCAAAAGCCCTCTTTACTATCTTGCCATCCTCCTGCCGAGCTCTGAGGCCAGGCTGCAGAACCAGACAACTGGACACCCCTTCCAGCTTGCCCACTAGCCTCAGGTGAATTATCAGTTCCCCTGTGCCTTGGTACCTGGCATGCAGGAAGTGCTTCATAAACTCACTGTCACCTTTAGGGGGACTCCAGCAAGAGGCTGCTGGCTAGTCCTCCTCTCTCTCAACACAGACAACCACCCTCACTCCTCTTCACTCTCAGACCATCCTGGTCCTGTGTGGCCCCCACGCTGAGTCAGTGGAAACAGGAATCTTGAGGCCAGTTTCCTAAGGTGAGCTTGAACCCCCGATGACCAAGGGGGCACATGAGGAGAGCAGGCTCTAGGCTCTTCATCTTGGATGCCTAGCCCATGGCTCAGCGATTTGAATCTGTGCCCGGGGCCTCACCTGGCCTGCCCCAGGCTGGAGTGAGAACCCCAGGAATGTCCTCCTCTTACCTAGGTGCTATACTTTTCACCTGCTGGCTTCCTAAACAGGGAGCCTGGCTCTAGAGTCAGGCCTCATTTGCCACCCTCCACCTCACACAACCCAGGTTTTCCAACCCTGTCTAAGGTACACTGACTCACCTTTGCATCTGTCCCCTTAAGTGTTCATGTCTCACCATCAGTAAGAAGGCCAAAGAAGTTTAACAGACTTCTTTAGCTAAGCGGCCAACGACATAAGCAGAACACAAACAGTTTCAACTTCAGCAACCAACTTCAAGGCCCCACTGAATATTAATGAGCTGATGGGTTAAGAGGCACTTTATTAAATGCCTCTGCTGATCAAATGAAGGCCTGAAACAATCTGGTAGTTGGCATAGTTACACAACTGCCTGCTATTAGTGAGACAGTGGGATTGGGGCTGGCTCACACACACAGAAACACGTGCTTATCCTCTTCATCTGGATAAACTTGATTCTTTCTTGTGTTGCTGTTCCTGGAACAGGAACAAAAAACCTGGAAAAAAATTCTTACAGCTATCAGTATACATGCTCCAAGTCTCAATCAGGTGATAGACGGAATGAGGAAACTGACAGCAGAAACTCACCAGCAAACAAAACATTAAGGGAAACAGCCACTTTATTGCTGGGGTGATAAGAATTTTTTGGGTTTTTTTTGTTTTTTGAGTCGGAGCCTCGCTCTGTCTCCCAGCCTGGAGTGCAGTGGCACGATCTTGGCTCACTGCAACCTCAGCCTCCTGGATTCAAGCGATTCTCCTGCCTCAACCTCCTGAGTAGCTGGGATTACAAGCACGTGCCACCACATCCAGCTATTTTTGTATTTTTAGTAGAGACGGGGTTTCACCGTGTTGGTCAGGCTGGTCTCCAACTCCTGACCTCAGGCGATCTGCCTGCCTCAGCCTCCCAAAGTGCTGAGATTCCAGGCATGAGCCACCGTGCCCGGACTTAAGAATTTTTTGTTTTTAATTATGCAATCAATACATCTTCCTTGCAGAAAAACTGGAATATAGAGCAAAAAAGCTCAATCCCCAGGTTTACAAATGATGATTATAATAGCAGCAGCTACTAGTAAATATTGTTTCCAATTACCATATGCCTGCACTTTCAGGTCCATTATCTTCCTTATTTATTCTCCATAATCTTGAAATGAAGTCATTTTTACTGAAAGAAGTATAGTAGGGGTTAAGAATACAGGATTTGGGCAAGGCACAGTGGCTCATGCCTGTAATCCCAGCACTTTGGGAGGCTGAGGCGGGCAGATCACTTGAGTACAAGAGTTCAAGACCAGCCTGGGCACCAAAAGAAGTAGATTCCTAAAAACCAAAACTGGTCATTTTTAAAGTGTCCTAGCTGAGTCTTACAGTTTTTACCTCTGTACCATGTCTAGTAATAGAAAAGGAATTAAATGATCAGTATACTAAAATGCCTAATGGTGAATCATTTAGTCTGAGGGCATGTGTCATATCTCCTTAACTCTTAAATAGTTGGTCTGTCATCTAATTAAGAACGATGACTCTCACAAAAGTTTATCGTATCTGGAATTCTTTTTAAATGAAAAAAGGCCGGCAACAGTGGCTCATGCCTGTAATCCCAGCACTTTGGGAGGTAGAGGTGGGCGGATTGCTTGAGGCCAGGGGTTGAAACCAGCATGGCCAACATGACAAAATACCACCTCCACTAAAAATACAAAAATTAGCCTGTAATCCCAGCTACTGAGGAGGCTGAGGCAGGAGAATCGCTGGAACCCGGGAGGCGAAGGTTGCAGTGACCTGAGATCGCGCCACTGCACTCAAGTCTGAATGACAGAGCGAGACTCCATCTCAAAAAGAAAAAAAAAAAAAAAGAAACAGAAAAGAAAAGAGGGTAATTTTGGACTTCGGTGAGGGCTCAACCACCTTAAATATGGCAGGTTGCAAGCACACAGCTTGCAGCACCCATTCACCAAATGGAGTAATGCTAACCTTCTCAATTTTTGTCAACCATAAGACAAACAATCCTCCTCTTCCTCTACAATTTCTTGACAATTATAGCACCAATTTTGAGCCATTCAAAAACCAGGTCTGTAAGACACTGGATAAAATGTATGAAGTCAACAAGAACAACCATACTAGATTTCAGGGGTAATCACAAATCCTCATCCTAACTGCTAAGTTTGTTAGCTTGAAACTTGAGGGCACCAATACCTCCCAGAATTGTTGGGAGACTTTAAAAGCAGAGTTTCTCAGCCAGGCGTGGTGGCTCACACCTGTAATCCCAGCACTTTGGGAGGCTGAGGCGGGCGGATCACCTGAGGTCGGGAGTTTGAGACCAGCCTGACCAACATGGAGAAACCCCATCTCTACTAAAAATACAAAATTAGCCGGGCGTGGTGGTGCATCCCTGTAATCTCAGTTACTTGGGGGGCTGAGGCAGAAGAATCGCTTGAACCCAGGAGGCGGAGGTTGCAGTGAGCCGAGATCGCACCATTGCACTCCAGCCCGGGCAACAAGAGCGAAACTCAGTCTCAAAAAAAAAAAAAAAAAAAGAAGGAAAGAAAGAAAAGCAGAGTTTCTCAACCAAGACGCTGTCGGCTTTGGGGGCCGGAGAAGTCTTAGTTGCGGGGGGCTGTCTTGGCCATTGTAGGATGTTGAGCAGCATAACCGGCCTCTACCCACTACCAGAAGCACCCACTCCCCACTTTCAACAACCAAAAATGTCCCATACATTGCCAAATGTCCCCGGGGGGTCGTGGGTGCAAAATCACCTCCAACTGAGAGCACTACTGCTTTAAAGAGATAGCAATAATGAAAAGATTAAAGCATCAAAGCACTTTAGAACAGGAAGGGATTTTAAGGAGCCTGAGAACCCGTGATTCTCAAACTTTGCTAGGTATCAGCCTCCCTGGGGAGTTTGTTAAAAATGCGGCACCTGGACCTCACCCCAGACCTATCAATAGAGTCAAGTGTTGGGTTCTGCCCCAGCACCAACATCCTCATTCTACAGCTAAGTTAACGTCGGCCAGAGAGGGAAAATGCCTTGCCCAAGGTCACAGGGCGAGTTAGAACCTGGACTCCAAAACCAACCAAGCCCTTCCTTACAACAAGGAGAGTGTGCTATTCTTACGTCTTTGAGGCAGCAGAACCTAAAAATGGTTAAGACGGTGCATTCCGGAGCCAGCCGGCCCGAGTTAAAATCCCGACTTGGCATTTATCAGCGGGGCGGCCTCGCACAAGGCACGTAGCGTCTGAGGACCTGTTTCCTTCTCTGTCCAGTGGAAAAGTAACAGTACCTACCCACCAGCGTTATTGGAAAGGTGAAGAGAGAAGATATTTAAAAAGCCCGTCGCACGGTAAGCACTCGATACGTGTCCTATTATTAGGACTGTCCCACACCTGCAAAGTGGAAGGGGTCTGGGGATCCCGGGGACAGAGGGCTGGAAATGGGCTCAGGGAGGCGAAACGACCCCCGATTCCCCGAAGTCCCCACCGGGAGACGGACCCCCGCCCCGCCCCTCACCTGGCCCTGCAGCTCCTTCTCGAGCTGCCGGTAGTCGTTTTTCCAGACTAGGAGGTGCAGGGGGTAGTGGTCGCCCGCGTCGCAGGCCGAGGACATGGCGAGGAGGCCGTAACCTGGTCCTCGTCGCCCGCCCCAAGTCTCGGCCCCGGCGGGGTCTCCCGCGCCCGCCTGCCTGCCCTGAGGCCGGCGAGCAAGCGAGCGTAGGGCGTGTTACGCTGCCGGCCGGCTGAGCCGGTCGGGTGCGGGGCGCGCGGGAGGTCCGGGGTCGCCGGCCGGCTCAGGGACCAGGTCGGCCGCGCCCACCCCGCGCCCCGCGGCGTTCCCGCCCGCGCTGACAGCTCGCGGACAGACTTCTGCGGACCTAACTGCCCCAAACAGGGAAGTGCGGAGAGCGAACCACCGCATGCCGCGGCGGGGATAGGCGACCTTGGGCACCGGGTCCGGGGTCCGCGCCATTGCACCCACCTCCAGCTCACACCGAGAAACTCAGTGCAGCCCACAGAACAGAGCTGAGGCTCATTCTCTTGGCCAAAGATCTCCACGCGGAAAGTTCCGTCTACCTGTCCCCAGCTTCTTTCCCCCTGCTCCAGTAGCCCCATGTGGTTCGGTCCACAACTGGGCCTCTTCCATTGGCTCTGAAGTCAGGGGGTGACAACTGAGCCCCGGACCAAACCATTCCAGCTGCCGACACCCTTGCAGCCTTTTTGGAGCAGGACAGATGCTTCCACGACGGGTCAAAAGCCATTTTGGAAGTGGGCAACACCGGACAATTTTTGAAGGAGGAACGCTAAACCCTGGCGAAGTGGCTTCAAATACAGTATTTGCATAAAAGGGGATATTTCTACTTCATGATTTCTCAACCTCGGCACATATTGAACTGGGCAGTTTTTGTGTGGGGGTTGTCCGGTCCTTGTAGGATGCTGAGCAGTTGCCCTGGTCTTTCTCCCCACTCAATGCCAGTAGCACTCCCCAAAACATGTCTCTCCAGATATTGCCAAATGTCGTCTCGGGGAGAAAAATCGTCCTCAGTTGAGAACCGCTTCTATTTGAACTCCGAACCGGGTTATGATTCAATAGCTAACTATGGTGGTGATTTAGTCCATGTATGAATGTCATTTTTAAGCTAGCTTTTTGGATTTGAGGTTATGGCTGAAAGGACTGATAAATAATATACATATTTGACCACAGTCTGCGAATATGAAGTTTATTCTTTGAGTTTCAGGCACTATGCCTCCTTGACTCAATGAAGAACCAAATCAACTTACAGCTAGCTACTCATGGGCTTGAACTTTCTGCTGCTGCTTCAGCTCAGCTGTCTACAACTAGACCACATAGCTGGATGAAGCTATTTAATGCATTGTGAAAACATTCCCTCTGCCCTCTGAGTGTATGCACATCCAGCTCTTCAGATGCCTGCAACAACAGCTGTTCAAGAATCCCAACCTAATCCATTCTCCACAGATGTGGAGCCCAGAAGATTTGTGAGTTGTTAAACCAAAACAGGATGCAGGAGCACCAGGATGGCACCCGGAGACTCTAACCATGGAATGCGTGGGAATTCTGTGATTATTTCTCCATCACACATTTATCACACTGTAGAGATGGACTCAAGACCAGTGCTTCTGAGGCCTTTTCCAGCACTTCTCATTCTTTCAGATGCCTTTTGCAACTTAACGTTCTCCTTCTTCTTCATCATGCCGTGTTTATTGAAAATCTCCCTATCTCATTAATCAGAAAACCCCATAATGACAGGAACCACATCGTTTTGCTTACCAGAGTATCTAAAACCAAAATAGTACCTGGCTAACAACAGGCATTCAATATTTGCTGAATGGAGATCATAGCTGTGTTTATATGTAAGACAGACAATAAGTAGTCATTGGTATTAGGGTCACATCTCCTTTCTCCTTCACACTGATTTACCTCATTTCATTGTGTTTATCTCACACCATTTTGTAAATTATCCCATGTTAGCTATTGTTATTCTCAAATTCCACGCATATGAAGAAAAACAGTAATTAGAAAATAATAGCAATATCCATAATTATGGGAGCTACTATTTACTGAGGGGTTACTATCCAGCAGGTGTATCACATTTTTCCCATAATTTATTCCATCTGTCCTTAGCCAAAATGAATGTTTAACTTTGCTGGTCACATACAAGTTTTGTCGCATATTCTTCTTCCTCTTTTTCTTTATTTCCCTCTCTCTCTTCTTCATTTTCATCTCGCAACCCTTTAAAAATGTAAAAATCATTCTTAAGTAGCAAGCCATACAAAAACAAATCGTGGACTAGAAGTAAACAATGCATTATCTTAATTTTGAACATGAGATTAAAACTGAAGCCTAAGGAATCATCTAATATATTCTTTTTTGTTATTTTTGTTGTTGTTGTTGAAGTTGTTTTTGAGACAGTCTCGCTCTGTCCCCCAGGCTGGAGTGCAGTGACGCGATCTCTGCTCACTGCAACGTCCACCTCCCAGGCTCAAGCGATTCTCATGCCTCAGCCTCCTGAGTATCTAGGATTACAGGCATGCGCCACCACGCCCGGCTAATTTTTTTTTTTTTTTTTTTTTTTTTGAGACGGAGTCTCACTCTGTCGCCCATGCTGGAGTGCAATGGCGTGATCTCAGCTCACTGCAACCTCCACCCCCTGGGTTCAAGCTCCTGCCTCAGCCTCCCAAGTAACTGAGATTACAGGCTCCTGCCACTGTGCCCGGCTAATTTTTGTATTTTTAGTAGAGACGGGGTTTCACCATGTTGGCCAGGCTGGTCTTGAACTCCTGACCTCGTGATCCACCCGCCTCGGCCTCCCAAAGTGCTGGGATTACAGGCGTGAGCCACCGCGCCCGGCCAATTTTTGTATTTTTAGTAGAGATGGGGTTTCACCATGTTGCCCAGGCTGGTCTCGAACTCCTGCCTCAAGTGATCCTCCTGCCTCAGCCTTCCAAAGAGTTGAGATTACAAGAGTGAGCCACCACGCCCAGCCTGGAATCATATAATATATTCTTATTTTACTTTACCCCAGTAAAATGCAAGCTTCATAAGGACTAGAAATTCAGTCTTTGCTCACTGCTGTTTCTCCAGTGGCTGGGACAGTATATAAAGCATGGTAAGTGCTTGATAAACATTTGTTGAATCAAGGAATGAATGAATGAACTTGACCATTGATTGCCTCAGGAAGGTTGTGGCTGCAGGGTTCTCATCACAAGATATTGCTACTTCCCCTGGTATTAATCAGTTGGGACGAGGGGAATCTCTGCCAGAGAAGAAGACCCAAATTCAATATTTAAAGGTAGGACAGATGATACTCGGGCAGTCTCCTGCCCTCACTCAAGATGGCGACAAGGCAGAGTGCCCTTTCCGGTCACATGACCTGACACTCGCCGAAGGGCACCTCCCCGCGCGTGCGTGCTGTGCCAAGGCTGCAAGGCGCTGAGGGGAGAGGCGCCGCCGTCAGCGCCGCCGCAGCTGGGACCCGTTAGAGCGGAAGCGCCGCCGCCACCGCCGCCTTTGCTGTCCCCCGGCCTCTAGTTCCCCGCAGGTGGGAGGTGGGAGCCATGTCGAAACGGCTCCGGAGCAGCGAGGTGTGCGCTGACTGCAGCGGGCCGGGTGAGTCGCACCGGCCGGGCCCGCTCCCCTCTGCTTTCCTGGCCCGGACCCCTACCCCGGGGCCGCCCCCTCAGGTCAGGCTGCATCCCGCGGCTAGGGTCGCAACGAAGAGGTCCCTGGGCGGCCTTGGGGTGGGAACCGTCCCGGGCCTGTCAGAGCCGGGCGGGCAGGGGGCCGCCGCCCTCCCCGTCCCTCGCGGCCCTCCCTTCCCTCTCGTTCCCTCCCGTTCCCTCCGTCCTAGGCCAACTGGGGAGGTGACGGGGGCCAGGGCTGCTCCCCCAACAGGAAGGGGCTTGGGCAATCCACAGGAAAGCCAATTACAGAAGTAAAATGTGAGCGTCCTCCCGGCTGCAGCCTCCAGAGGCTGCAGGTGTCACCTCCCACTAGACCCTTTCTCCGCCTGGGTGTCCTGCCCGGGGAGGATGACACTCCCTGAGACTCGCCAGAGGGTCCCCGTAGATGACTTCCCCGCTGCTGACATCCGACAGCTACTCTGCCCGGGAGAATTGCCAGGAGATCGGGGTCTTCCAAACACAACCAGCACTTAGGAGGCAGTGCTTGTCTCAAGTTTGAGGATCTGAACGGCCTGGGTTCAAACTAGATTTTGCTTCTGGCTGACCTTGGGCTGGTGACTTCACTTGGTCACTTGCTTGATTTCCTCATTTTTTTCAATGAGGATAATCGGGAGTATCACGCTTAGTGGTGAGGAAGATTCAATGAATACTCGTAGAATCATATCATCTAAGGCTTTTCTTTTTTGCATTATGCTGTCTACAGTAGAACTCTTGTAGTCCCTTAAAGCTATATTTGACTATCTAAATCATACGTTGATTACAACGGAAACAAACGCAAAATCACCAGCAATATAGGGGCATTGAAACGCTAAAGCCATTCCTTCATAATGATGCATAACTGTTCATACATAATATTCACATTTAGAGATCAAGTGTGTCTTAGCAATTGCAACTGAATTGTCAGGTCTCTGGATAGATTATTACATGCTGTTTTAGGTGCTTGGATGTATTGGCTTTGAGTTAATTCGAAGGTAACATGGCTTTCTTGGCACAATAGTGTCCGATAAACAATCTTAATTAAATCATTGAACACCACTGGCTTTGCAACTGTTCTGATCTTAAGCTTGTCATTTGGAAGTGGAGACCAATTGTAAATAGAACTGTGATAACTCAAACCTCATGTGGTTGTTTTATGGCCCGTACAGTGCAGGTGTTACCAGTTTCCTTTGAAGATAGGGAGGGGGTATGGAGGAGTTTAAAAAGAAGTGTTTTCTAAACCAAGTTAGTGTGAGTTATACAAACTCCATCATTTTCTCTAAAAATGTTATTTGTTCCACTTCCTTATTTTCTTGCCTATTTTCAGTTGAACTTACCGTGATGTATTTGATTCACATGTGTCTAGCTTCTAACTTCCTCTTGGAATGCATATTGTTTTGCTTCTTGATAGGGTACAGGGCAAAGCAAAATTGTTCCTCCATTGCCATCCTAAATATACTTTTGCAGCATTTTGTGCATTTCAGAACATTTTCTCTTCCATTGTATCGCTTTAGTTGTTGTCTCATACGCCTAATCTGCAGAGACTTGAGTCACTTCCTTCCTGTTTTGAATATAATTAGGCTACCTTGAAATATTCTGTGAAATTGAGCAGCTGGGAATTTGTGCTGCCTTTTCTGCACAGCCCTACTGAGAGAATTACCTGTAGGGTTAGGGACCCCTTTGAGATTCTGTTGAATGCTAAGGCCTTCTCCCCTAAAATGCACGTGAACGAATTTACCTAAGATTTGTCTGGGGGAGTCACAAACATTTTTGAAGTTCATTTGTGGTGTCCCTGGAGCCCTGGCTCCAGATGAACTTAAAGGGTTTTACCCAATCTCATTCATACAAACATTTTTATTTTACTATGTTAACATTCTAATATTCTTTCCATGGGATTCTGATCCAGGATGCTAAAGTGGTTAGTCGAATACTTGTCTTAATTAATATGTGTTAAATACTTGCTAAAAAAAGAATACTGCAAATCCTCTGAATAAGTGAAAACCAAAGCTATGCTTCAAAACAGTCTTTTTTTTTTTTTTTTTTTTTTGCCATTAGTGTCAGTACTATACTGCAGGAAGCAGTGTTGTTAATGCATCTTTGTAGAGCTCCTTCATCTGGACATTTCCAATCTCTGCTTTTTAGGATGATACAGTAATAGCGACAGAGTTATACTAAATTGAATTATTTTGATTCTGTTTTATTTTATGCAAACATTTAACCATGATCACATCTTCTTAAATATTCTACTTTTTTTTTTTTAATGAATCTGGTTCATTTCAAATACATCACACTCTGAGTTCAATTACTTGAAAACTCCATGGAGATTTTCAGTACAGTAGTAGAGTGGTCACATGAAATGTTCAATGTTTTAAGTATTTCCCATCAAAAACTTTGTCCAGTGATCATGAATTTCACGTCTAGAAAATATCTGAATACTGAGAAAATAATTTAGAAAAGATATAACAACTAACATTACTACTTTACTATGTGTGAGGTACTTCACTTATTCTCTATATCCTTACTATCCCGAGATTTGTCATTGTTCTCATTTGAACCATGGTGAAAACACTCAAGTAACTTGTCTGAGATCATTGTGCAAGAAGTGGCAGAGTTGGGGTTCAAACCCTGAACTCCTTGTCTCTAGAGCCAACCCTCTTAACCACCATACTCACTGGCTCCCAGGATTCGTCTTTGATTGAAAGCCCATAACTTTTCATTATATGGTTTGAAAGGGTTTGAATAAACTCTTAAAAAATGGTAAAGATGGTGTACATGCATTTTAGAGATTTTTGTGGACATTGAAGAATTTTTAAATGTAACCCTTTGACCAGGCAGCTTAAGTGGCACCTATTGTCACCCCATTGTGAGTCTGACGAAGTATAGCTCTTTCTTTATTTGAGGTTTCTAGGTATTCAGTTTACTTACCCAGATCCATCCTGCTTGCCAAGTATGAAATTATTCCTTGTTTCAAAGGACAGCTAATGAAGCTCTATGACTTTAAAGGGAAAAAAGTATTATACACACACTAAAAATATTATTCATTTTTATTTTACATCTTTGCCTCTGTGAAGCTGCTGTTATTGCAACTTCTTTTTTTTTTTTCAGATCAGTTGCAGGATTGGACTTGGTAGTTTATGTAAAACAATTAATTGGCTGGGCACAGTGGCTCAAGCCTGTAATCCCAGCACTTTAGGAGGTCGAGGTGAGTGGATCACCTGAGGTCAGGAGTTTGAGACCAGTCTGGCCAACATGGTGAAACCTCGTCTGTACTAAAAATAACAAAAATTAGCCGAGCTGGTGGCACACACATGTAATTCCAGCTACTCGGGAGGCTGAGGCAGGAGAATCGCTTGAACCCTGGAGGCAGAAGTTGCAGTGAGCCGAGATTGCGCCACTGCACTCCATCCTAGGGGACAGAGTGAGACTCTGTCTCAAAACAAACAAACAGACAAACAAACCAATTCATGGACATCATAGAACATTTCCTAATGGAAGAGGCCAGGTTTCCCTGTCCTCAGAACCATAGCAGCTGAGTGATTTTATGATTCTGTAACTCGCAGCTTTCTGCTAAGCATATTGACATGTTGATTCATAGCAGTGAATTAGGACAGCAGTCTACAACATTTACTGCAGAAAATGCTATCTGCATAATTCACTGTCAAAATTATATTATCTTGGCCGGGCACAGTGGCTCACGCCTGTAATCTCAGCACTTTGGGAGGCCGAGGTGGGCGGATCACCTGAGGTCAGGAGTTTGAGACCAACCTGACCAACATGATGAATCCCCGTCTCAGCTAAAAATACAAAAATTAGCCGGGCGTGGTGGTGCATGCCTGTAATCCCAGCTACTCGGGAGGCTGAAGCAGGAGAATTGCTTGAATCTGGGAGATAGAGGTTGCAGTGAGCCAAGATTGTGCCTCTGTACTCCAGCCTGGGTGACAGAGTGAGACTCCATCTCAAAAAAAAAAAAAAAAAAAAAAAAGTATTATCTTGATTTTTATGGAGATGGATCCAAAATCATTCGTCTGTACCCTCTCAATTTGCTTTCTTAGCTTGAATGAAAAAGCATGCATCTGAAATGGTAGATCCACATTAGGGCTACAAACTGTGGCCCTGAACCAGAAAGAAGATAACTGTTTACCCAAGGCTCCCACTGGTGTTTTTAGTCTCAATTAACATTGTACCTAATCAGCCAAGGTAGGTCATACCATCCAACAAGATGACCAGCCTGATGCATTGATGAGCATACTGAAACAAAAATGTCTCCTTTTTCTGACAAACCAAACTTCAGTCATCTTTTGCCATCTGGCGGTATAGCAACCTGCTGGTATCCCTGCCACTGAGATTTCACTCTCTTTCCAGATCCTTCCTGGGCATCAGTAAATAGGGGAACGTTTTTATGTGATGAGTGCTGCAGTGTCCATCGGAGTCTAGGGCGCCATATCTCCCAAGTGAGGCATCTGAAACACACACCGTGGCCTCCAACACTGCTTCAGGTAAAGGATAAGAATTCTCCTGACAGTTGGTAATTTACATTTTAGGGCTCATCATGTTAATAACTTAAATTTCTCCTGGTGTACTTCTTCCATAAGACAAAACTGTTTCATAATTGAATAGAGATGGCATGCCCATCAATGCTATTTACAAATATTATCTGTATTGAATTCAGTAAAGACTTTTCTTCCTACTTGACATAAATCTTGTTCAACAAGCTCAATTATAGGTAGATAGATGAATAGTCATTAAAATATCTTGGTACTGTTGCTCTGTTGACTTTCTAGACTGTCATCGGAAATGTTTTTTTTTTTTTTTTGAGACGGACTCTCACTCTGTCATCCAGGCTGGAGTGCAGTGGCGTGATCTCAGCTCACTGTAACCTCCGCCTCCCGGGTTCAAGCAATTCTCCTGCCTCAGCCTCCCAAGTAGCTGGGATTACAGGCACCCGCCATCATGCCCGGCTAATTTTTGTATTTTTAGTAGAGAAGGGGTTTCACCATGTTGGCCAGGCTGGTCTCGAACTCCTGAACTCAAGTGATCCACACCTCAACCTCTCTCGAAGTGCTGGGATTGCAGGCGTGAGCCACCGCGCCCGGCCAGTAGTCCATCTTTTCTATGCATGATAATGAATGTTTCTGAAGGCTACTGCCTGAGAATCTTTTCTTTAATGTACTTATTCCTGAGTACCTGCTAATATTTTTAGAACATGTTTTTCTGCTTTGATAGCAGCATGGGCTGGGATTCCTCAGAAACTTCTGAAACATTTTAAGTTTTCTTAAAGCTCTTGTTACTAGTCAGAGAGACCAAATTAAATTAATATGTTTTGATTGCATGTAGAATACCCTGTTAAATGAGTTCTTTGTTTTATCTGGAGTCCAATGTCATGTCACCTTTACTTCTATCTTGGGGTACACATTCTTCAAGTTCTCTTGGAACTCAAGGTTAAGTGTGTGTTTTGCCTTCATTTGTCTTGATTACACATTTCACTGAATCTGTGACAGCTGCACATATCCCTTAAACTTGGCTGTGTGAACCAAGGAGCCAAAACAAGTGGGTTTGTATCTCTGATGTGAAAATAACTACACTGCTGTAAAAAACAGATGGGGCTGTTTTAGGAGTCATGCCTTGAAATGAAATTTGGAGATATGATTTATTACTAACTTTTGCTTAGAAGTTTCTAACCGCTCACGCTCATGTGAAAGGGGCTGTTTACTGCTCTCAGGTCTGTCTGTGTTTGCAAAGCCAGATTGTAGTACAGAGTCTCAGTAAAGTCCAGAGATGAGTTGTTTAGAATGCCAGGGTTGACCCTAAAGCAACAATTCCCCAAATGTGGAACCACCAGTGGTATTCAAGACAGATGTAGGTAATACATGTTTTTTTTAATGGTTACATTATTTTACTGTGTATGGGAAAGCTATAACTAGCACATCAAACTGTAGTTGTTTTTACAAGTAAGTGGCTTTAAAGACAAATATTAAGTGAATAATATAGACAGTACATGGGTCATTAAGAATGTTGAAAATAGTGTTTAATTAGGTTTGGGAAACCCTGCTCTAAGGTGTCAGAGTACTTTTTTTTCTTTCATACAGAATAAGAACAGTTCAGTCACACTTTAGGTATTTAACTATCCTACTAGTCAAAGCTGAATCCTGCATATAGATTGATCATCTTTCTCATTCTCAAATCAGAAAACAATGATATGAATGATATTCCTAACAAATGAGTGTTTATAACAGGACTTTGTTTACTCTGTTCAGTCACTGATCCCCATTGAATATTTGTGAAAAGAAATTAAAGTCTTATGTCATCCTGCTTGGTTTTAGATGGTTGAGACCTTGTATAATAACGGTGCTAACTCTATATGGGAGCATTCTTTGCTGGACCCTGCGTCTATTATGAGTGGAAGACGTAAAGCTAATCCACAGGATAAAGTACAGTGAGTGGAATGTTTATAAATACTTTTATTTCTTCATAACAAATGGGGCCCACTGAAAGGAGTGCAGCTATTTTTGGTCAGTCTCCGCAAGGGCAGCAGAGGAGGGGGTTACCCTAGTTGTGCATCAGGTTCTTTGCTATTAGAAATGCAGAATGGGGTGGGGCAGGACCATCTGTTTAGCATGGCCACCCAGCAGGAGTAAGTGGCTTCCTCAGTTGGAAACCATGGCTTGGAGTCTGTAAATGTAATCAGATTTAAACTTATACTCAAATAAGAGGCGATCAGACCAGAAATCTAGGTCTGGGCACCCGTCTGCCTGTTGCCTCACTTATAAGATGGGACTAAATGCTGCTTTCTCCCAAAGTTGCTAAATCAGTTCAGACAATTACACAGAGAAGAGGGCTACTATAAAAAGCAGGTACTCTGGAGTCCCAGCCATTATAATAACTAATGTATGTTTTCAAACTGCAGGTCTTAAACCTTGCTGAAACTTACTTGAGCATTGTTCATTTTATTCTCAAGTGGGGGATGTGGGTCACTTCCTCTTCTTTTTACAGTACAAAGAATGGGGATTGTTGTATCTGAACGAGTGAACTGTTTTCTTTTTTGTTTTTGAACCAGTCCCAATAAAGCGGAATTCATCAGAGCCAAGTATCAGATGTTAGCGTTCGTCCATCGCTTGCCCTGCCGGGATGACGATAGTGTGACTGCCAAAGATCTTAGCAAGGTGGGTCACACCTTTTAAAATCCCTAAAAGAGCGGGCTGAGACAGCATATTGTTTTATTTGAAAAAACGAAAAAAAAGTCTGGTTGTGGGCTTTTTTTTTTTTTTTTTTTTTTTGAGACAGAGTCTCTGTTACCCAGGCGGGAGTACAGTGGCGCGATCTTGGCTCCCTGCAGCCTCTGCCTCCCGGGTTCCAGCGATTCTCCTGCCTCAGCCTCCTAGGTAGCTGGGATTACAGGCGCATGCCACCATGCCCAGCTAATTTTTGTATTTTTAGTAGAGACGGGGTTTCACCATGTTGGCCAGGCTGGTTTCGAACTCCTGAGCTCAGGTGATCCGTCTGCCTCGGCCTCCTAGTGTTGGGATTGCAAGCGTGAGCCACTGCACCCGGCCAGGGTTTTTTTGTTTTTCGTTTGTTTTTTTTGAGACAGGGTCTTGCTCTGTTGCCCAGGCTGGAGTGCAGTGGTGCAATCACGGTTCACTGCAGCCTTGACCATCCAGGCTCTAGCAATCCTTCCACCTCAGCCTCCCGAGTAGCTGGAACTACAGGCGCATTACCATACCCAGCTAATATTTTTTATTTTTTGTAGAGACGGGTTCTTGCTATGTTGCCCAGGCTGAAAAAAGTTTTTAAAGAAAGAAAAACAAAAACTCATTTCTGCACATTCATTAATTAATAGCTTTTTTGTCAGTCGGTTTCGTCTTTAATCTGAATTCAAATGGCAGCCATTCATATAGTGGAGGTTCAGGGCAAAGAGGAAAAGTAAGTCTCTGGAAGGCTGTTTGTGTTTTTCCAATATGGCTTTTAAATTATATTTTGATAAGTTTTTTGTTTGTTTAACTTTGAAATAGGAACCATCTCAGAGTTGTTTCTAGAAGGGACTAGAAAGATTATAGGACAATTGTTTCTTTTTAATAAGGACTAGAAAAAGTACTAAAGGAAGGGGACTTCTTCAGGTTTCCAGGTTGAACAGTAAGTATGATCTTCAGAAAGCAATGTGTGACTCAAAGCTATAGTACACAGAATGGTTTATGATACTTGTAAAACGAGTGAGGTGGTTTTCTTTATGTGGGCCTTCGCATGTTTTTGAGAGATGCTGTAAGAAATGTGCATATTTTCAAAGCGCTGCCTTGGATAAATGCTTACTCACACAGAGCATGAGAACTTACTTATTCAGAACTTTTTTTATTACTTTTTGGCCGGGTGCGATGGCTCACTCCTGTAATCCCAGCACTTTGGGAGACTGAGACTGGCAGATCACTTGGGCTCAGAAGTTCAAGACCAGCCTGGGCAACATGGCGAAACCCCGTCTCTACAAAGAATATAACAATTTTAGCCGGGTATGGTGGCCGTGCCTGTAGTACCAGCTACCTGGGAGGCTGAGGTTGGAGGATGACTTGAGCCCAGGAGGTGGAGGTTGCAGTGAGCTGAGATTACACCATGGCACTCCAGCTTGGACAACAGAGCAAGACCCTGTCTCAAAAAAAGAAAACATTTTCTGCATCTATTGAGATGATCATGTGGTTTTTGCTTTTGCTTCTATTTATTTATTTATTTATTTATTTATTTTTATTTATTTTTGAGATAGAGTCTTGCTCAGTCGCCCAAGCTGGAGTGCAGTGGTGCGATCTCAGCTCACTGCAAGTTCTGCCTCCCAGGTTCATGCCATTCTCCTGCCTCAGCCTCCCAAGTAGCTGGGACTACAGGTGCCCACCACCACACCCGGCTAATTTTTTTTGTATTTTTAGTAGAGACAGGGTTTCACCATGTTAGCCAGGATGGTCTCGATCTCCTGACCTCGTGATCCTCCCGCCTCGGCCTCCCAAAGTACTGGGATTACAGGCAGGAGCCACCGCGCCTGGCCTGCTTTTACTTCTATTGATGTGGCAAATTACATTTATTGATTTGTGTATGTTGAGCCAGCCTTGAATCTCAGCAAAAAAGCCTACTTGATCATGATGGGTTAATTTTTTTATTTTTATTTTTATTTTTTATTTTTTATTTTTTTGAGACAGAGTCTCGCTCTGTAGTCCAGGCTGTAGTGCAATGGCATGATCTTGGCTCACTACAACCTCCGCCTCCCAGGTTCAAGTGATTCTCCTGCCTCAGCCTCCCAAGTAGCTGGGATTACAGGCACGTGCCACCAGGCCCAGCTAATCTTTTGGTTTTTTTTTGTTTGTTTGTTTGTTTGTTTGTTTTTGAGACGGAGTCTTGCTCTGTGGCCCAGGCTGGAGTGCAGTGGCGCAATCTTGGCTCACTTCAAGCTCCGCCTCCCGGGTTCATGCCATTCTCCTGCCTCAGCCTCCTGAGTAGCTGGGACTACAGGCGTCCGCCACCACACCCGGCTAATTTTTTTGTATTTTTAGTAGAGACGAGGTTTTACTGTGTTAACCAGGATGGTCCCGATTTCCTGACCTCGTGATCCGCCCACCTCGGCCTCCCAAAGTGCTGGGATTACAGGCGTAAGCCACCACGCCCGGCCATTTTTTGTATCTTTAGTAGAGACGGGGTTTCACCACGTTGGCCAGGCTGGTCTCGAACTCCTAACCTCATGATCCGCCTGTTTCAGCTTCCCAAAGTGCCGGGACTACAGGCCTGAGCCACTGCGCCCAGCCATGGTGGATTAACTTTTGATGTGCTACTGGATTTGGTTTGCTAATATTTTGTTAAGAGTTTTTTAAAAAATCTGTGTTCATCATGGATTTTGGCCTGAAGTTTTCCTTTTTTGTTGTGTCTTTGCCAGATTTTGGTATCAGGCTGATGTTGGCTTCACAGAATGAGTTAAGGAGGAGTCTCTCCTCTTTGATTGTTTGGAATAATTTTAGTAGGATGTTCTTCTTTGTATGTCTGGTAGAATTCAGCTGTGAATCTCTTGAACTGGGGAGACGAAGGTTGCAGTGAGCTGAGATCATGCCACGGCACTCCAGCCTAAACGACAGAGTCTCACTCTGTTGCCCAGGCTGGAGTGTCGTGGCACAATCATGGCTGACTGCACCCTCAACCTCCCTAGTCTCAAATGATTCTCCCACCTCAGCCTCTCAAGTGGCTGAGATCTCAGGCATGTGCCACCAAGCCTGGCTAGTGTGTGTGTGTGTGTGTTTTGTTTTTGTTTTTTTTAGATAGAGTCTCTGTTACCCAGGCTGGAGTGCAGTGGCACGATCTCGGCTCACTGCAACTTCCACCTCCTGGGTTTAAGCGATTCACCCGCCTCAGCCTCCTGAGTAGCTTGGATTACAGGTGCCCACCACCATGCCCGGCTAATTTTTTTTGTATTTTTAGTAGAGACAGGGTTTCACCATGTTGGCCAGGCTGGTCTTGAACTCCTGACCTCAAGTGATCTGCCTGCCTCGGCCTCCCAAAGTACTGGGATTACAGGCATGAGCCACCGCGCCTGGCCAGTTTTTGACTTTTTGGAGAGATGGGGTTTCACCATGTTGTCCATACTGGTCTCAAATTCTTGGGCTTAAGCAGTCTGCCTGCCTTGGCCTCCCAAAGTGCTGGGATTACAGGCGTGAGCCACCACATCTGGCCTTTTTTCCCCCCCCTTTTTTAATCCCCAGCAGAATCTGGCTGAAGAATTCAGAATTTGAAATTTTGCATAGAAATGCATATACTAGCTACTTCCATTGATTAATAAGACTTGGTATGTGTTGGGTTTTTTGTTTTTTGTTTTTTTTTCCTTGCCAGAGTTTTAAAAAATTAGGCACAGTGGCACATCCCTGTAATACTAGCTACTTGGGAGGCTGAGGTGGAAGGGTTGCTTGAGCCAAGGAGTTCAGTCCTGCCTGGGCAACATAACGAGACCCTGTGTTTAAAAAACAAAAAAACTATTTAAAAAATTAAACTTAGATGTTAGAGTAGATTTCTTCATTCCTGTGATAAGGGTTACTGCATCTTGGACAATTCTAGGTTAGATTTGAAGGAAGGCAGCTCATCTTCTGACTGTATAAGAGCTTTTCTGCAGTAGTACAGAATTCGGTATATCACGGGCCTTTTCCTACCCTGAAAGACTTTATTAAAGCATATTATACAGGCCAAGAATAATGTGGTAGAGAGGGTATTGTATAAGGCAGGATCCTGTAGCTTACACAGTGTAGAATTTGAAGTCCTAAAGCCCTAATTACAGTAACAACTAATAATAATAACTGTTATTATAGCATTTGTATTCTTTGAGCACTTTATTATATCACTAAATCCTTATAATAACCCTGTGAATAGGGCCAGGCACGGTAGCTCATGCCTGTAATCCCAACACTTTGGGAGGCCGAGGTGGGAGGATCACTTCAGCTCGTAAGTTCGAGATCAGCCTGGGCAACATAGTGAGACCTCATCTGTATTGAAAAATAAAAAGTTAGCAGGGCATGGTGGCCGGCGCCTGTAGTCCCAGCTGTTTGGGAGGCTGAGGTGGAAGGATTGCTTGAGCCCAGGATACTGAGGCTGCAGTGAGCCATGATCACTCCACTGCACTCCAGCCTGGATGACAGAGCAAGCGAGACCCTTTCTAAAAAGAAAAATGCCACCTTTTAAAATTTTTTTTATTTTTTATTTTTTTTGAGACAGGGTCTCGCTCTGTCACCAAGGCTGGAGTGCAGTGGCATGATCACAGCTCACTGCAGCCTCCACTGCCCAGGCTCAGGTGATCTTCCCACCTCAGCCTCCTTAGTAGCTGGGACTACAGGTGCGCATGCCACCACACCCAACTAATTTTTGTATTTTTTGTAGAGCCAGAGTCTTGCTATGTGGCCCAGGCTGGTCTCAAACCCCTGGGCTCAAGTGATCCTCCAACCTCAGCCCCCCAAAGTGCTGGGATTACAGGCATGAGCCACTGCATCTGGCCATTGTTGACATTTTTGAGATGAGGAAAGTGAGGTTCAGATTGCTTAAAGCCCTTTCTCCAGGCCACACAGCTTGAAGTGGGTATAGTTTGAAATTCAGGTCTGTCGTATGTCAGAGCCACGCATAGTCACCTCTTCACACAGTCCTGCCTCTCACTCAGGTTCTGGTTGTGCCACTTCTTAGATAAGTCATGCATTTGGGCAAGTCAGCCTTCACAGCCCTAGTTTCCTTATCAGTAAAGTGGCCTCACTCCACCTTACAGCCCAGGGACAGTTGTGACTGGCAAAGGAGAGACTGGTCCATGCACTTTACCGAGACAAATAAAGATTATGCGTTACTGATGTAACATATATTAAAATGGTCTATCAGCTGCCCTAGGACATCATTCTTTACACCTCTAACCACGATTCCTTTTTTGTTTCTGCGTTTTTCAGCAACTCCATTCGAGCGTGAGAACAGGGAATCTTGAAACCTGTTTGAGACTGTTATCTTTAGGAGCACAAGCCAACTTCTTTCATCCTGTAAGAAAACATGAATTGCTTCAGATATTGAAACTAAGTGAGTTGTGTTCATGTAGCCTTTATTTAATGTGCTCTTTTGCCTACTTTTTATTAATGATTCTTAGGAAAAAGGAAACACCCCACTCCATGTTGCCTCCAAAGCAGGGCAGATTTTACAGGCTGAATTATTGGCAGTATATGGAGCAGACCCAGGCACACAGGATTCTAGTGGGAAAACTCCCGTTGATTATGCAAGGTAAGAGACCTAGATTCTCGCTACTTCTCTCTGGGATTTTTTTGTTGGGTGTGATTCCTTGTTAAGTAGCTAAGTTGTATATGTTGATATTGAACCCCTTTAAAGATGTACGTTATTTTATTTTACAGATGAAGACATTTCAAATGCATATAAGCTCAGCCTGGCAAAGTTGAGGAAGGCTAGAATCATGAACCAGTGTGCTAAGCTTCCAGTCTTTTACTTGATCCTTTATAACACAGTGATGTTTGAGCTGTAGTCAGATTCCAAATCAAGTATCAAGAATTACAGAATGTACTCTTCTGTTTTTTAATACTCTTAGTTATTTCTTGAACTTAAAAGCAAATATATACATAGATATGTGATTAAACAAGTATAGTAAAAAGTTAATTGTAAGGTTTGGGTAGTAGACATCTAAGTGCTCACTCTAGGCCAGGCATGGTGGCTCACACCTGTAATCCCAGCACTTTGAGGGTCCAAGGCGGGTGGGTTACTTGAGGCCAGAAGTTCGAGATCAGCCTGGCCAGCATGCTGAAACCCTGTCTCTACTAAAAATACAAAAAAAAAAATTGGCTGGGCATGGTGGCAGGCACCTGTAATCCCGCTACCCGGGAGGCTGAGGCAGGAGAATCACTTAAACCTGGGAGGCAGAGGTTGCTGTGAGCCGAGACCATGCCACTGCACTCCAATCTGGGTAACAGGGCAAGACTCTGTCTCAAAAAAAAAAAAAAAAAAAAGTGCTCACTGTAAAATTATTTAAATTTTTCTTTATTAATAAAGTCCTTGAAAAATAAATCTATAGGTTAGTCTTGAATATCATTTAAATGGCCAAAGATCAGTCATCTTTCCTTCTTTTTCCAAAGTACTTTTATTAACTGTGAAGCACAATACTCTGTTCCACAGAGGATAAAATGGGTGAATAACAAAACTCTGCCTTCCCAGAATTTACTCTCTTGGAAAAGATGATTCATAAATGCCTGAAAGAGTTCAAGGAGGCAAGACCATATGGGATTCATTGCCAAAATAGATAATTGGTCTTAAAAAGCATATATAGGGTTTCTTCATTGTGGTCCAAATCATTTAAGAAATTTCTTCAGCTGGTCTTGAAGAATGGGTTGGATTTGAATGTGTGAAGGGAGAGCTGAAGCATTCCAGGTAAGAGGAAAGGCAGGAGTCAAGATCAGGAGGCAGGGAGGGACAAAGTGTGTTCAGCACAGCAGGAGACCTGACTGGAAAGAACAGAGTGGGTCTGGGAATAACAGCAGGAGTACAGTATTGCATGGTGCTTCATTATTTCACAGAGCACTAAAAAAGAAAAGAGTTCAGCCAATTAAATTATGGTGTATCATCAATTGTAGGACATTTCCTGATTTCACAGATACTAAAAAATGAAAATAAGATGTGCCTCTCACAAATCAAAGCTGTGTGGTAGGTTGAAGGGTGTTGTGAGTGCCTTGAATGGTGGGGAGAGAAGCTGGCTGAAACTATCAGGTTGGTGCAAAAGTAATTGCAGTTTTTGCCATTACTTTTAAGGACAAAAACCACAAAATATACTTGATCTTGGACGAGAGCCCTGGGTAAATGATACTTATTATCACTTACCTTGGAATTTTCGCACTTGTACCTTGCATATAATAATCTCAATATAATTTGTATCCTTGTTGCTGAAAGGATTCTAAGCAGCCTAAGTATTTATTTCATGGATGTTGAAAGGTAAACTTAATATTTTCTGTTGTGCAAATTGAAGATAAGGAGGCAGAAGTAGCTGCAGGCGTGAGCTGTGCGTTAGGTTGGCGTGTCTCTCACTGATTTGAAGCCTTTGAAGTGGTTACTAGACTCTTATCCAGAGTCAGACTGGCTGCATCAGCATCACCTAGGGGAAGGACCTTCTTCAACATATTGGCCCCTGGCCCCATCCTGTCCCCATTGATTCAGAATTTCCAAGGGTGGGGCCTGCACATGGTATATTTCTAGAAATGCGCTAGTTAATTTTTGAGAACTTCTACCGTAAACCATTGATTAATTTCATTTTTTTACCTCATTAAATTAAGTCATTCTGTATCCTTCCCTCTCATAAGTCTTTGAATTTCTTATTAAATATTCTATTTTGGCCTTAATAAAGGAAAGGCGATAGTTCAGATGGTGAAAACAGTTTATAAAAGTGGGATGCAAAGTAGACTTCAGAAATCTACCTACCACAAGAAGGTTGATGATTCTCAAAAGTCTTGTGTGATAAACTGCTCAGGTGTCTCAGGAGACGTCTTTGTACTCCATTTTAAAGTCAGTGAATAGTGAGCAATATAAATGGTACTTTGTTTTCTCTTGGTAGGCAAGGAGGGCACCATGAGCTGGCAGAGCGCCTCGTGGAAATACAGTATGAGCTAACGGACAGACTAGCCTTCTATCTCTGTGGCAGGAAACCAGGTGAGTGGATGGAGAATGACCGTTTCACATCTCCAGTTGGGAAGGTTCTAGAAAAACAAGTTGGGACACTATTTGTTATTACCTCCTCTGCTGTAACATATCACTGAGAAAGCTATACATATGGCTTTTAATTTGAAAGGATAACTACAGAATTGTCAGTTACATGTAAAAGATATAAAGTTGGACAAAACTCCTTAGATTTTTCATTTTTAATAGCTCTAGAGAAATGACTATTTCAAGAATCAGACTGAATAATCAAAGCAAAATTGAATGGGTACCACAGTTCTTGAACATGGTGGGACTAGGAATGTAGGAGCAAAGCAATAACCTTTGTAGTTATTTGAAAAATTCTTCTTAAGGAATGGAAAAAAAGTCCAGAAGTAAACTTTGCCAAAGCCAACTTGGCTATTTGTGATAGGGAACAGGGGTCAGCAAACCATGGTTTGTAGCCCAAATCTAGCCAGTTACTTGTTTTATTAAACAAAGTTTTGTATCGTGCCACTGCACTTCAGCCTAGGTGACAGAGTCAGACTCTGTCTCAAAATAAATAAATAAAAATAAATAAATAAATAAATAAAGCTTCTGCCGGGTGCAACGGGTCATGTCTGTAATCCTAGCACTTTGGGAGGCCGAGGCAGAAAGACTGCTTGCACCTAGGAATTCGAAAGTAGCCTGGGCAAGAGGGGTGAGACTCCGTCTCCACAAAAAAGTTTTTTAAAAAATCAGCCAGGCATGGTGGTGTGCGCCTGTAGTCCCACGTACTTGGGAGACTGGGACTTGAGCCCAGGAATTCAGGGTGGCAGTGAGCTATGATTGTGCCACTGCACTCCAGCCTGGGTGCAGTGACAAAGCAAGACCCCCAACTCTCTAAAAAATAAATGAATAAAGTTTTATTGCAAGAAAGCCGCGCCCAATTATTTATACCTTGTGTATGGCTGCTTTCACATAACAACAGCAGAGTTGAATAGGTTAAGTCGTTGCAACAGGCCAGATGGCCACAAAGCCTAAAATATTTACTATTTGGCCCTTTAAAGAAAATATTGGCCAACCCCTGATGTACAACATTCACATACATGTATGCAGTGATTCTCCATCCTGGTTGTATGATAGAGTTAAGAGCCTCTGGTATAGTTTCAGTTCTGGGTGAGATGGAGTAAGCACACCCCACCGTGTCTCCTGCAAAATAGAACTAACAGACCTGGACCAAATGCTTGGAGTAGCTAGCTAAAGACTCTGAAAAGTAAATCCTGGTTGGTAGATTAGGGAACTCAAAAGTGTCATCAGCTGGTGGTGAGTGTCCTGTTTGTCTTACTTCTGATAGGACTTCAATGACAGCCTGAAACCTGGAGGTACATAATGAGTGCAAAAAAGCCTTTTTCTGCGGGGTGCGGTGGCTCACGCCTGTAATCCCAGCACTTTGGGAGGCTGAGGTGGGCGGATCATGAGGTCAGGAGATCCAGATCATCCTGGCCAACATGGTGAAACCCTGTCTCTACTAAAAATACAAAAAAATTAGCTGGGCATGGTGGCAGGCGCCTATAGTCCCAGCTACTCGGGAGGCTGAGGCAGAATTGCTTGAACCCAGGAGGCAGAGGTTGCAGTGAGCCAAGATTGCGCCACTGCACTCCAGCCTGGGTGACAGAATGAGACTCCATCTCAAAAAAAAAAAAAAAAAAAAAGCCTTTTTCTGGTTAAAGAGCAGGAAATGGGACTTCTACAGGACAGAGAGGAAGGGGATTCCCCTGGGGTTTTTTCCTCCTCCTCCTTCCTTTTTCTGATCTCTCCCATCCAGCCCCTAGGCAAGCCTGTGGCTGCAATAGCAGCAGCAGCAGTGGCAGCACAGGTTCCTAAATCTCTGAGCAAGGGGATGAGGGGGGATCCTGATTGCTTGTCTTTTTCTCTCTATTCTCTCACCATCTGCCCAGGAGGCAGAACCTCACCTGGTCAGTTGCCTGCTAAGACAAAAATATGAACATTTTTGCATAAAGTTTAAAGAAGGCCCAGAGTCTCATAACAAAACATTCACAGTGTCTAGGATATCATCCATAATGACTTGACATCTGAGTAATTCTCATGTACTTGCCAGGGAAGGCAGCCAACAGATGCCAACCCCAAGATGACACAAATGTTGGCGTTATCAGACAAAGATTTTAAAGCAGCTAGTAAGACCATGCTATAAGAAGTAAAAGCAAACATTCTTGAAACAAACAGGAATATAGAAAGTCCCATCAGAGAAATAGAAGATACAGAAGAGAACCAAATAGGAATATTAGAACTGAAAAATACAAACACTAAAAATTTAAAACTTACTGGATGGGCTTAATAGAAGAATAGAGATGACAAAGAAAGTCAATGAATTGAAAACAGATCACTAGAAATTATCTGGTTTAAGCAACAGAGAGGAAAAAAGAGTAGGAAGAAAAGACTGAACAGAGTCTCAGGGACCTGTGGGAAAATACTAAAATGTCTGACATTTATGTCGTTGGATTCCCAATAAGAGATGAGAAAGAGTGGTGTGTGCAGAAAACGTATTTGAAGAAATATTGGCCAAAAAAACCCTCTAAATTTGGGACAGGCTCAATGGCTCACACCTGTAATCCCAGCACTTTGGGAGGCTGAGGCGGGCAGATCATTTGAGGTTGGGAGTTTGAGACCAGCCTGGCCAACATGGTGAAACCCCATCTCTACTAAAGATACAAAAAGTAGCCGGGCATGTTGGTGCGCACCTGTAATCCCAGCTACTCAGGTAGCTGAGGCACAAGAATCACTTGAACCTGGGAGGTAGAGGTTGCAGTGAGTCCAGATTGAGCCACTGCACTCCAACCTGGGCAACAGAGCGAAACTCCGTCTCAAAAAAAAAAAAAAAAAAAAAAAACCTCTAAATTTGGTGAAAGACATAAACTTACAGATTCAAGAAACTTAGAAAATTCCAAAGAAGATAAACTCAAATCCACAGTTGAGACACATCAAAATCAAACTGTTGAAAACTAAAGTTGAAGAAAACATCTTGAAAGCAGCCAGGAAAAAGTGACACATAACATATATAGAAAAACAGTGATTTGAATGATTGTGGATTTCTTATCAGAAACCATAGAGATGAGAAGGAAATGAAATAATACTTTGTTTGTTTGAGATGGAGTATCTCTCTGTTGCCCAGGCTGGAGTGCAGTGGTGCAATCTTGGCTCACTGAAACCTCCGCCTCCCAGGTTCAAGCGATTCTCTTGCCTCAGCCTCCTGAGTAGCTGGGATTACACGTGCCTGCCACCATGCCCGGCTAATTTTTGCATATTTAGTAGAGATGGGGTTTCACCATGTTGGCCAGGTTGGTCTCGAACTCCCGACCTCGTGATCCGCCCACCTCGGCTTCCCAAAGGGCTGGGACTGCAGGCATGAGCCACCTCACCCAGCCAGAATAATACTTTTATTATTATTATTATTTTGAGACAGGGTCTCACTCCATCGCCTAGGCTGGAGTGCAGTGGCGTGATCTCGACTCACTGAAACCTCAACCTCTTGAGCTCAAGTGATCCTCCCACCTCAGCATCCACAGTAGCTGGGACTACAGGTGTGTGCCACTGTGCCCAGATAACTTTTGTATTTTTTGTAGAGATGGGGTTTCACCATGTTGCCCAGGCTGGTCTTGAATTCCTGAGCTCAAGTAATCCACCCACCTGGGCCTCCCGATTACAGGCATGAGCCACTGCTCCTTTTTTATTATTATTATTTTTTCTCATCTTCTTTGTGATGGTAGAAACAATACTTTTAAAGTGCTAAAAGAAAAGAGCTGTGAACCCAGAACTCTATATCCAATGAAAATAACTTTGGAATGAAGGCAAAATAAGGACATTCTAACAGGAAAAAAAAGAATTATTCTTTACTTTAACAGAAATGCTAGAGAAAGTTCTTTGGGTGGAAGGGAAATGATGCCAGAGGGAATCTTGGAACTTTAGGAATGAAAGAAAAACAACAGAAATGTTAAAGATGTGGCAGAGTAAGACCCTGTCTCAAGAAACAAACAAAAAGTTGAAATTGTCATACATATCTTAAAGCTGTAACATTGTCAGCCAGGTGCAGTAGCTCAAGCCTGTAATCCCAGCACTTTGGCAGGCCGAGGCAGGCGGATCACCTGACATCAGGAGTTTGAGACCAGCCTGACCAACATGGTGAAACCCTGTCTCTACTAAAACTACAAAAATTAACCGGGCATGGTGGTACATGCCTGTAAACCCAGCTACTCAGGAGGCTGAGGCAGGAGAACCACTTGAACCTAGGAGGCAAAGGTTACAGTGAGCCGAGATCGTGCCACTGCACTCCTGCCTGGGCGACAGGGAGACTCCATCTCAAAAAAAAAAAAAAAGAAAAGAAAACGCCAGGCGCGGTGGCTCACGCCCGTAATCCCAGCACTTTGGGAGGCCGAGGTGGGCAGATCACGAGGTCAGGAGATCAAAACCATCCTGGCTAACACGATGAAACCCCGTCTCTACTACAAATACAAAAAATTAGCCGGGCGTGGTGGTGGGCGCCTGTAGTCCCAGCTACTCGGGAGGCTGAGGCAGGAGGATGGCGTGAACCCGGGAGGCGGAGCTTGTAGTGAGCTGAGATTGCACCACTGCACTCCAACCTGGGCGACAGAGTGAGACTCCGTCTCAAAAAAAAAAAAAAAAAAATTATCTAGTAGGGTTTTCAGCATATATCAGTGTAATATATTTGACAACTATAATATAAAAGGGGATAGGGTAAAAAATATAATGGTAAGATTTCTACCTTCTACTGGAAATGTAAAATAGGATTTCTAAGTAGACTGTGAAAAGTTGTGTGTGTGTGTGTTTGTGTGTGTGTGTGTGTATAGTAATTTCTACCATAACCACTGAAAGAAGACTACAAGCCAGGCACGGTGTAGTGCCTGTAATCCCAGCACTTTGGGAGGCTGAGGTGGGCAGATCATGAGGTCAAGAGATTGAGACCATCCTGGCCAACATGGTGAAACCCTGTCTCTTCTAAAAATACAAAAATTAGCTAGGCATGGTGGTACGTGCCTGTAGTCCTAGCTACTTGGGAGGGTGAGGCAGGAGAATTGCTTGAACCCGGGAGGCAGAGGTTGCAGTGAGCCGAGATCATGCCACTGCACTCCAGCCTGGGTGATAGAGTGAGACTCCATCTAAAAAAAAAAAAAAAAAAAGACTACAAAGATATGTGATCAAAAATGCTAGAGGTAAATGAAAATGGAGTATTAAAAATTACTCAAATCATCAAAAGATATTTTGATTCAAAATATTCAAAAGAGGAGGGGGAGAACAAAAAACTAAGGACCAAATAGAAAATAAATAATAACATTATAGACTTAAGTCCGTACATATCAATAGTTACATTAAATGTTAATGACCCAAACACATCAATGAAAAGCAGAGATTCTCAGAATGGATTAAAAAACAAAAGGGGCTGGGAGCTATGGCTCACACCTGTAATCCCAACACTTCAGGGAGCCTGAAGCAATTCTCCTAATCGCTTAAGCATAGGAGTTTGAGACCAGCCCAAGCAACAGAGCAAGATCCTTTCACTACAAAAAATTTTATAGAAAGCAGCCAGGCATGGTGGTGCATGCCCATAGTCTCAGCTACTCAGGAGGGGCTGAGGTGGGAGGATCACTTGAGCTCAGGAGGTCAAGTCTGCAGTGAGTGCTGATCATGCCACTGCTCTCCAGCCTGGGCAACAGAGCAAGACCCTGCCTCAAGAAATAAACAAAAAACCATAAGGCCTAATATATACTGTCTACAAGAAACCCATTTTAAATATAACAATATAGGTAATAAGTTAAAAACCAAAAGTATAAAAAGATATACCATGTAAAGGCTCAGGAAAAGAAAGCTAGGGTGGCTATATTAATATCAGACAAAGTAGACTTCAGAGGAGGGAATATTAGCACGGATAGAGAGGGACATAATATTATCATAAATGAGTCAATTCATCAAGAAGGCATAATAGTTCTAAATGTGTACACATCCAGCAACAGACCTTCAAAATACATGAAGCAAACTTTGATAGAACTAAAAGGAGAGAAGGTCAAATCTACAATTATTGTTGGAGACTCTACACTCATCTTTTAGTAATAGATAGAACTAGTAGATAGAAAATCAGTAAGGATATAGAACTAAACCAGACCAAAACCCAACTAGATCTAGTTGATGTTTATAGACTCTTCTACCTGACAACATTAGAATACACATTCTTTTCAAGTACATATTGAACATACACCCAGATAGACCATATCCTGGGTCATAAGACAAACCTTAGCTAATCTAAAAGAATTAAAATTCTATAAAGTATATTTTCAGACCATAATAGTATTAAGCTACAGATAGGTAATACAAATAAAACTGGAGAATACCCAAGTGCTTGGAAGTTGAACAACATGCTGCTTTTTTTTGGAAACAGAGCCTCGCGCTGTTGCCCAGGCTGGAGTGCAGTGGCGCAATCTTGGCTCGCTGCAACCTCTGCCTCCTGGGTTCAAGCAATTCTCCTGTCTCAGCCTCCCTAGTACTGGGATTACAGGCACGTGCTACCACACCCAGCTAATTTTTGTATTTTTAGTAGAGATGGGGTTTCACCATGTTGACCAGGCTGGTCTCCAACTCCTGGCCTCAGGTGATCCACCCACCTTAGCCTCCCACAGTGCTGAGATTACAGGTGTGAGCCACCGTGCCCGGCCCTGAACAACACACTTCTAACTAATCCATCGATCTAAGAGGAAGTCTTAAGGGAAAAAATATTTTCCACTGAATGAAAATGAAAATGCAGCATATCAGAATTTCTGGGATGCAGCCAAAGCAATGCTTAGAGGAAACTTTATAGTATTAAATTCTTACCTTAGAAAAGAAGAAAGGTCTCAAATCATTCTCATCATTATTTTTTGAGATGGTGTCTTGCTCTGTCACCCAGGCTGGAGTGCAGTGATGTGATCTTGGCTCACTGCAACCTCCCCCTCCCAGGTTCAAGTGATTCTCCTGCCTCAGCCTCCTGAGGAACTGGGATTATAGGCATGCAGCACCATGCCTGGCACATTTTTGTATTTTTAGTAGAGATGGAGTTTTACCATGTTGGCCAGGCTGGTCTCTAACTCCCCACCTCAAATGATCTGCCTGCCTCAGCCTCCCAAAGTGCTGGGATTACAGGCGTGAGACACCGCGCCTAGCCTCAAATTATTAATATAAGCTCCTCCCTTAAGAAACTTTAAAAAAAAAAAGAGCAAAATAAACCTGAACCAAACAGAAGGCAGCAAATAGTAAAGAGCAGAAATCAATGAAACTGAAAGAAGGAAACAGTAGCGAAAAATCAATGAAACTGAAAGAAGGAAACAGTAGCGAAAAATCAATGAAACCAAAGCTGGTTTTTCAGAAGGATTAGTAAAACTCATAAATGTCTGGCAATACTGACAAAAAGGAGAGTGTACAGATGGAGTTGTCACTATAAACCCCACAGACATGGAAGGATAATTAAAAAAAAATACAAAGCAGACCGGGCGCGATGGCTCATGCCTGTAATCCCAGCACTTTGGGAGGCTGAGGCAGATAGATCATTTGAGGTGGGGAGTTAGAGACCAGCCTGGCCAACATGGTGAAACTCCGTCTCTACTAAAAATACAAAAATTAGCTGGGCATGATGGTGGGCGCCTGTTATCCCAGCTACTTGGGAGGCTGAGGCAGGAAAATCGCTTAAACCTGGGAGGCAGAGGTTGCAGTGAGCTGAGATTGTGCAACTGCACTCCAGCCTGGGTGACAGAGTCAGACTCCATCTCTAATAATAACAATAATAATAATAGTAATACAGACCAGGCATAGTGGCTCACAGTGGTAATCACAACACTTTGAAAGGCCGAAGTAGGAGGATTGTTTGAGGCCAAGAGTTTGCGACCAGCCTGGGCAACATAGCAAGACCCCATCTACAAAACTGCAACAACAAAAAAATCAGCCTAGCCTGATGGCACGTGCCTGTAGTCCCAGTTACTCTGGAGGCTGAGGTGAGAGGATTGCTTGAGCCCAGGAGGTCAAGGCTACAGTGAGCTGTGTTCGCACCACTGTACTCTAGTCTGGGTGACAGAGTGAGACCCTGTCTCAAAAAAAAATAGAGAAAAATGCAACATAACCAAGTGGGATTTCCAGATAGGCAAGACTGATTTAATATTTGAAAATCAGGCCAGGTGCAGTGGCTCACGCCTGTAATCCCAACACTTTGGGAGGCCAAGGTGGGTGGATCACCTGAGGTCGGGAGTTTGAGACCAGCCTGGCCAACATGGTGAAACCCCGTCTCTACTAAAAATACAAAATTAACTGGGCATGGTGGTGCATGCATGTAGCTACTTGGGAGGCTGAGGCAGGAGAATCACTTAGAACCCGGGAAGCAGAGGTTGCAGTGAGCTGAGATTGCGCCATTGCTCACCTGCCTGGGCGACAGAGCGAGACTGTGTCTCAAAAAAAAAAAAAAATCAGTTAATGTAATCTATCAAGTTAACAGTAAAAACGAAAAACTATGTAATCATATCAGTTGATGCAGAAGAAGCATTCAACAAACTTCAACATCCATTCATGTTTTAAAAAAACTCTTAGCAAACTAGGAATAGATGAGACTTCCTTGATCTGATAAACAGTATCTATTTAATGATGAAAGACTGTGTTTGCTTTCAAATTGGGAGAAAGACTAGGGTGTCCACTCTTACCATTTCTCTTCTACATCACACTGGAAATCCTAACCAGTGCCAAGAGGCAAGAAAAATAAATAAAAGGCATACAGATTGAAAAGGAAGAAATCAAACTGTCCCCATTCAAATGAGATGATTTCTATGTAGAAAATCACAAGGAACCTACAAAAAGGTTTCCAGAACCTTGAGTTAAACAAGATTGCAAGAATACAAGGTCAACAGCCAAAAATCCATATATATATATATATTTTTTTTTCCCTTTTTTTTGAGATAGTCTTGCTCTGTCACCCAGGCTGGAGTGCAGTGGTGTGATCTCGGCTCACTGCAACCTCCGCCTCCCGGGTTCAAGCAATTCTCCTGCCTCAGCCTCCCATGTAGCTGAGATTACAGGTGCCCCCCACCATGCCTGGCTAATTTTTTGTATTTTCAGTAGAGACAGGGTTTCGCCATGTTGGCCAGGCTGCTCTGGAACTCCTGACCTCAGGTGATCCACCCACCTTGGCCTCCCAAAGTGCTGGGATTACAGGTGTGAGCCACCGCACCCTGCCAAAAATCCATCACATTTCTTTAGACTAGCAGTGAGCAATTGGAAACTGAATCTAGAAAAGCAATACCAGTAATAAAAGCTCCAAATTGGCTGGGCACAGTGGCTCACACCTATAATCCCAGCACTTTGGGAGGCAGAAGGGGGTGGGTCACCTGAGGTCGAGTTCGATACCAGCCTGGTTAACATGGGGAAGCCCTGTCTCTACTAAAAATACAAAAATTAGCTGGGCATGGTGGTGGGCGCCTGTAGTCCCAGCTATTCGGGAGGCTGAGTTAGGAGAATCGCTTGAACCTGTGAGGTAGAGGTTGCAGTGAGCCTGAGATCTTGCCACTGCACTCCAGCCTGAGCGACAGAGTGGGACTCTGTCTCAAAAAAATTAAAAAGCTCCAAATTAAATACTTAGGTATAAATCTAATGAAATACACAATACATGTAGTATCTATATGCCAAAAACTGCTGATGAAAGAAATCAATGAAGACCTGAATAAGTGGAGAGATGTACTGTGCTTATGGATATGAAGACTCAATAACATGTCAATTCTCCACAAGTTAATAAATGTATAAATTTACTTCAATTGAGGATTTTTTATTAGACATAGACATGCTGATTTTAAAATTCAAATGGAGGCCAGGTATAGTGGCTTACGCCTGTAATCCCAGCACTTTGGGAGGCCACGGCGGGAGGACTACTTGAGCCCAGGAGTTTGAGACTATCCTGGGCAGCATGGTGAGACCTCATCTCTACAAATAATAAATTAGCCATGTGTGATGGTGCATGCCTGTGGTCTCACCTACTCAGGAGGCTGATGTGGGAAGATCACCTGAGCCCAGGAGGTTGAGGCTGCAGTGAGCCATGATCGTGCCACTGCACTCTAGCCTTGGCAACAGAGTGAGACCTCATTTCCAAAAATAATAATAATAATTTAAAAATTCAAATGGAAGGGTGAAGGAACTAGAGTAGCCCAGACAATTTTGCAGAAGAATAATGTGGAAGGAAGTACAGCACCCAATTTTTCAGAATTGCTATGAAGCTGTACAGTTCTCAAGACTGTGATATCTATGAAGAGATAGACATATAGACCATTGAAACAGTATAGAGAATCCAGAGATAGATCCACACAAATATGTTCAATTGATTTTTGTCAAAAGTGCAAAGGTAATCAGTTCAGTGGTGGAGGAAGGATAGTTTTTTGTTGTTGTTGTTGTTTTCTGTTTTTTTAAGACGGAGTCTTGCTCTGTCACCCAGGCTGGAGTGCAGTGGTGGGATCTTGGCTCACTGCAACCTCGGCCTCCCGGGTTCAAGTGATTCTTCTGCCTCAGCCTCCCGAGCAGCTGGGACTACAGGCGCACTCTACCACACCCAGGTAATTTTTTGTATTTTTAGTAGAGATGGGGTTTCACCGTGTTAGTCAGGATGGTGTTGGTCGCCTGACCTCGTGAACTGCCCGCATCGGCCTCCCAAAGTGCTGGGATTACAGGCATGAGCCACTGCACCCGCCCCAGGATATTCTTTTTAATGCATTGGGACAACCGGACATCCATGTGCAGGAAAGTGAACTTCAACCTAAACCTCACACCTTACCCCGAAACTAGAAAGGATCATAGATCTAAATGTAAAACCTGACACTGTAAAACTTCTAGAAGAAAATGTAAGAGGTCCGGGCACGGTGGCTCATGCCTGTAATGCCAGCACTCTGGGAGGTCAAGGCGGGTGGATCACCTGAGGTCAGGAGTTTGAGGCTAGCCTGGCCAACATAGTGAAACCCCGTCTCTACTAAAAATACAAAAATTAGCCAGGCATGGTGGTGAATGCCTGTAGTCCCAGCTACTCAGGAGGCTAAGGCAGGAGAATCGCTTGAATCCAGGAAGCGGAGGTTATAGCGAACCGAGATCACACCACTGCACTCCAGCCTGGGCGACAGAGTGAGACCGCGTCTCAAAAAAAAAAAGAAAACATAAGAGAAAATCTTTGTGATCTTGGATGAAAGCTTTTAGCTATCAGCTGAGTATGGTGGCTCACGCCTGTAATCCTAGTACTTTGGGAGGCCGAAGTAGGAGGATCACTTGAGCCCAGGAAGTCGAGGCTGCAGTGAGCTATGACTATGCCACTGTACTCCAGCCTGGGTGACAGAGCAAGACATTGCCTCTGCAAGGGGGAAAAAGAAACCTCTTAAATATAACACCAAAACTCAATGCATAAAAGAAAATATTGATAAATTATACTTCATCAAAATTGAAAATTTTTGGCCAGGTGCAGTGGCTCACACCTGTAATCCCAGCACTTTGGGAGGCCAAGGCAGGTGGATCACCAGAGGTCTGAAGTTCAAGACCAACCTGACTAACATGGTGAAACTGCATCTCTACTAAATACAAAAAGTTAGCCAGGCATGGTGGTGCATGCCTGTAATCCCAGCTACTTGGGAGGCTGAGGCAGGAGAATTGCTTGAACCCGGGAGGCAGAGGTTGCAATGAGCCAATATTGCACCATTGCACTCTAGCCTGGGCAACAAGAACAAAACTCCATCTCAAAAAAAAAAAAAAAAAAAAAAGGAAAAGTTTTGTTCTGAGAAAACTAGTTAAGAAAGTGAAAAGACCAGCAACAGACTGGGAGAAAAATACAGGTATTTGGAAATCACATATCCAGCAAATTACTCATATTTAGAATATTCAAAGAATTTTAAAAACTCAGGCCGAGCACGGTGGCTCACGCCTGTAATCTCAGCACGTTGGGAGGCTTAGGCAGGTGGATTACCTGAGCCCAGGAGTTTGAGACCAGCCTAGGCAATGTGGCGAAACCCTGTTTCTACTAAAAATATAAAAAAATTAGCCGGGTGTAGCAGTGCACGCCTGTAGTCCTGGCTACTCAGGTGGCTGAGGCATGAGAATCGCTTGAACCCAGGAGGTGGAGGTTGCCAGTGAGCCGAGATCCACGCCACTGCACTCCAGCCATGGGGGGCAGAGTGAGACCCTGACTCAAAATAAATAAATAAGCTGGGCACAGTGGCTCACACCTGTAATCCCAGCACTTTGGGAGGCCGACGCAGGCAGATCACCTGAGGTCAGGAGTTCAAGACCAGCCTGACCAACGTGGAGAAACCCCATCTTTACTGAAAAAACAAAATTAGTTGGGCGTGGTGGCGCATGCCTGTAATCCCAGCTACTCAGGAAGCTGAGGCAGAAGAATCGCTTGAACCCAGGAGGCGGAGGTTGCGGTGAGCCGAGATTGCGCCATTGCACTCCAGCCTGGGCAACAAGAGTGAAACTCTGTCTCAAATAAATAAATAAGTTAATTAATTAAAATTAAAACTCAACAGTAAGAAAACAACCCAATAAAAACTGGGCAAAGACAAGATATGGGATGGCAAAAAAAAAAATCACATGAAGACAAGCGTGGCATGATTAGTCATTAGCACAATGAGATGCCACAGCATACCTATTAGAATGATTAAACTTTTAAAAACAAAAACTGAAAGTACAGGTGCTGGGAAAGACAGGAAGCAACTGTAACTCTCACATTGCTGTTTGGAAAACAAAGTGATAGCGCTACTCAAGGGAAAAGGTCTGGCAGTTTCTTACCAAGTTAAACATACATTTACCATATAACCCAGCATTTCTACTCCTGGGTCTTTACCCAGAAGAAAGATAGACTTATGTTAAAGAAAAACCTACATAGGAGTGCTGATAGTGGCGTTATTCATTGGCACATGGATCAGTGTTCTCCAGGAGCTAGATTAGGGCTGAGTCAGTAAGCTTCCTTGCAGATGGAGTCCCTGTCTGGATCTGCAAAGGCCACCTGTCCCAGCCCTAGCTGTTTTATACTAATAGATTCATTTGAGCAAGACCTAGAGCTCATCCACTGTCCCACACCGTGGGCTGATGGACACCTGCTGTGAGCTGATTCAGCTCCCTCAGCACACTTTCCATGGCCAAAGATCGTCAGTTACACTGAGGGCAAACTAATCGTCGTGATTGGGGTGAGCATAGGTTTCTGCTAAATGATGCCTGGACCTTTGTACCAGAAAAAAACAAGGCTATGAGCCTTACTACTAGCTGGGTCTTCAGGAATTTTTAGCTAGTCTAGCAACATGACTCGTCATTATGCACAAATACTAATCGCAAAACTTAGTTTGAGGAAATAATGGTGATGTTCCTTTACAGATCTTATCAACATTTCTATGAACAAAACTTTGACTTGGTTTCTGTTTCAGATCACAAAAATGGACAGCACTTTATAATACCTCAAATGGCAGACAGGTAAGCTCATTGAAATACCAGTTAGTTTTGTCTATCGCTAATATTTCCTTGGTTGTATTATGTTTAAGTATATTATATTTTGTGTTTAACAAAGCCCATACATTTTTCTCTTTTATGGCTATACCATTTGGAAATAAGACGGCTGTAAGTAAACCACTATATAAAACTTAAGTTTCAAAGAGCACAAGTAGCAATTTTACTAATAGGAAAATTGAAACCAGTGATATTGTCACTGTTTTAGCCAGTTGTGACAGTATTTTGTATTTATTTATTTACAGAATACTTCTGTATTATAGGAGATTACATTATCTATGACAGGGGTTGGCAGACTTTTCTTCTCAAGGGCCAATTAATAAATATTTTAGACTTTGTGGGTAATATGGCCGCTTTCGCAACAGCTTAACTCTACTGTTGTAGATGAAAGCATCTGTGGACACTCTATAAATGAATGGGTGTGTCTATTCCAGTGAAATTTTATTTCTGGACACTGAAATTTGAATTTCAAATAGTTTTCACGTTATGAAATATTGTTTTTTCTTTTTGCCCCCAAACATTTTAAAACGTAAAAACCATTCCTAGCTCAACTGAACAAAAAGAAGGCCATAATTTTTCTGACCCCTGGTCTATAAGAGCAGATGAGTTCATTGCTACAGGAATGATCCTTAAACCCTTGTTTTGCAAGTTACCTTTGCACGGAAACTGTCAAGAGTTTATGAAATGACTAACTGCTATTCCAGATATAATCTTGCCATCCTGATCTTTTACATCTTCCCTTTTTGTTTTGTTTTGTTTTGTTTTTTTTTGCTTTGGTAGAGACAGGGTCTTGCTCTGTTACCCAGGCTGGTTGCAAACTCCGGGACTCAAGCAATCCACCTGCCCTGGCCTCCCTATGAGCAACTATATCTGGCCTTGTATTTTCTTTTCTTTCTTTTTTTTTTTTTTTTTTTTTGAGACAGAGTCTTGCTCTGTCGCCCAGACTGGAGTGCAATGGTGCAGTCTAGGCTTAGGGCAACCTCCACCTCCCAGGTTCAAGCAATTCTCCTGTCTCCGCCTCCCGAGTTGCTGGGACTATGGGTGTGTGCCACCACACCAGGCTAATTTTTTGTAATTTTAGTAGAGATGGGGTTTCACCATGTTGGCCAGGCTGGTCTCAAACCCCTGACCTCGCCAGGGCAGTGGCTCACACCTGTAATCCCAGCACTTTGAGAGGCCGAGGCGGGTGGATCACGAGGTCAGGAGTTCGAGACCAGCCTGGCCAAGATGGTGAAACCCTGTCTCTACTAAAAATACAAAAATTAGCCAGGCACAGTGGCGTGTGCCTGTAATCCCAGCTACTCTGGAGGCTGAGGCAGGAGAATTGCTTAAACCCTGGTGGCAGAGATTGCAGTGAGCTGAGATTGCGCCACTGCACTCCAGCCTGGGTGACAGAGTGAGACTCCATCTCAAAAAAAAAAAAAAAAAAACAACCCTGACCTTGTGATCCTCCCACCTCGGCCTCCCAACGTGCTGGGATTATAGGCGGGAGCCATCGAGCCCGACATATTTTCTTATATCATGCTTTTTTTTTAATACTTCAAAAATTGTGACTCCTCACATAAGGGCCTGGAAGGTAACCTGGCAATAGCTTTTGTCGTTTAGTTGGTGGACGATTTTTTTTTCCTCTTTAACACTTACATGATTGTGGTATTTCAGAAGGAGTTACTTTCACCAGATTGTTCTGTTTAGAGCTCCTCACTGACTCTACTGGGCTGTAGAATGCTTGGTTCTAACATGGTCCATGAACTGTAATTAATATTTTTATCTCTTGGGTGTCTTAAACTTTACAGAGTTCACAAGTCTGGCTTTATTTATTTGCTTATTAGCTTTGTATGTTTTCTTAGCAGCCTGGATTTGTCTGAATTGGCAAAAGCTGCTAAGAAGAAACTTCAATCTGTGAGTATTTCTCTGTACTGGTTTTCTCTAGTATGAGAATCAGTGCACCCTGCTGATACCTACTCTGAATGCAGGTTACCTATTGCGTCTGATGACTTTATTTCATACTTTTATTTGTTAAACTAGAAGCAGACTGTTGAGTATACAGCAGTGATGACCACAAGGACTATTAAGTTCAGTATATTCAGTTCATTGGTTCTGCTTCAGATAATCTCATTTTTCTCTATCATGTAACAAGTGCAGATGGCACCTTTGGCATTAGGCAGTTGTTCTCCTCAGGAGAGTTCCCTAGTTCCTCTCAGTGTCATGAGTAAGTAGGGCACGCGTTCTTGGGGTGACTTAGCCATGTAGGGTTCTAGAGCTGGTAAATGCTGATGCTGAAATGGTGGCGAGTCCCATAGATTCACTGGCTGCCATTTGGATCCAGCCATATTGTAAACCTCTTTCCCATCCCATGCCATTCATCAGTGCTTTTTAAATTTCTGCTGTTAAAAGCTGGTGGTCTTGGCCCATGTGCGTGCTCAGAGTTTGCCGGCTCTGTGCCACAACCTCCCTTTAGCCTGTGTCTTTCTTCCAGACTGCCCACCTCAGCCTTAGGAAAGGCCTAAGGGCCCAAGGCCTCAAGGCCCTGGGAAATCTACTTCTCTGGGATTGACTTCTCTTTGTCTAGTTCTCTCACATGAAGCCTCACCGGGGCACTTCTCTCCACTTTAACCACCAAAGTATACTCCTCAGCTGTTCCCATTGCTCTTTGGATCAGAACCAAGATTCTTAACTTCTTTTTGTAACCTGTAAGGGCATCATTCAGCTCTCACCTTTCAGAGATTGCCCTGCTTCCCATCTGGTTCCGTGTGTGTGTGTGTGTGTGTGTGTGTGTGTGTGTGTGTGTGTGTGTGTGTGTGTGTCTTTAGATTAACACCCTCTGAGGCCATGAGCTGCACATTCAAGTCCTCTTCCAGGAATCCTGCTTTGCCTACAGCGTTTGCCTTTCCCAGCTTCCATCTCTCTGATTCAAGGACCTGAAATCTGACCAGTGTAGGTAGCGGCTTTCCCAAAGCCTGACTCTGACATTGCAGCTTCCCTCATTTATGACTTTCTCCTCATTTCTGTTTTCACAGAAGACCCTTTACTAAAACTTCATATAATACTCAGTATTAAATATTACATTAAATGAATTTATCCTTACTAGTATTTAACTGTATTATGAAATAAATGTGTTTTATGCAATTTGTTTGGTGTCTCTGTGTTCTGTATCTACAGTTTTGTGTGTCTGTGTGTTTTATTGCCTTAAGGAAGTTGTAAACTAAGATGATCAAGATGATAAGCTTTGGAGTCAGATAGCACTAAATATTGTGTGATTTCCTTTTAATTACTCACAATCTGTAAGTAAATTTTATTATAAATAATTCAAACCTAGATAAAAACCCACGTTTTCTTAGACTATCCTACATTTGCTTCACTGGAAGCTGCATGAAAGCTGAGATTATGCTTGTAATATCTCTAGCACGTGGCAGGCATGAAGTAAAGACCTGGAACAGAGTCTAGTATAGCTCTCCAGAGCTGCAGCTCTGAGTCAGACTGGTCAGTACATATCTCAGCCCTGCCAAGCTTCCTAGCCTCCCTGTGCCTTGGCATCCTCTCATAGAAGAGGGAGATAAGGATCCTGCAGGGGCTGCCGGCCAGAACTGCTCAGAGTGGGCTGCCCCATTACTTGTTGACCCTCACCCTGTGGTCTCCTTCTCATAGGTGACCATCTTATCAGCGCCAGGTCAGTGTTTATCCTCCAGTATCTTCCTCCTGTCCTCCCTCTCTTCCTCCCTTCATCCTTTCTTTCCTTTCTCTTTTCCTTCCCTCCCTCCTGATGAAGAACTGAGAGAAATATAACAAAGGCTAATGTATTCCTTGAATGAGTAAATGTTAGCATTTTCAAAGATGTAAACTTGGATCTCAGGTCTGTCACTAGCTTTGTGACTTTAGGCAAGCTACTATCTTCTCTGCCTCAGTTTTCTTGTCTTAAAAATGGGACAATAGTAGTTCCTGTTTTCATAGAGGTGTTATAAGTGAAATATGATACTGTTAGCACAGTGCCTGGGATATAAGCCCATAATCAGCGTTGGCCATTGTAGTTGTTGCTAGTAATAATAACATTAGCTTGTAGTCCCATGGAGGAAGAAACTAGATATTTATGAAGCAAAGTCAAGCTCCCAATCCTTCAACATCTTGTCTAGCAACAGGCTCTCTGGGTTTGTTTTTAATTATAGTGCGACCACATTTGGGAAGATTTGGAAAATAGAGAAAGGGGACCATCCTCATTGCTATACTCTTAATGGAGTCAGGCTCAATATTTTGGTACATTTCTTTCAGTTCTTGTTTTATATGCATATCTTTTTTTAAAACTGGAACTTAATCATAATTGTAGACGTTTATAACCTGCTTTTTTCACTCAGTAATATATGGTACCCATTTTAACATGTTCCTATGAGGTCTCTGTAACCAGCACTTGTTTTTTCTTTTTTTTTCGAGACAAGGTCTCACTCCGTCACCCAGGCTGGCGTGCAGTGGTGCCATCGTGGCTCACTGCAGCCTTGAACTCCCAGGCTCAAGTGAGTGATCTTCCTGCCTCTGCCTCCCAAAGTGTTGGGATTATAGGCATGAGCCACCACACCCAGCCTGTAGCCAGCATTTTAAATTGCTGCATTAAATCCCTTCTGGCCAGCCAGTGCCTCTTTTCTGGCCACTTTTAAAGTGTGAGGTACCATGTGTGGATGTAAGGAACCCAATAGGGAATATAACAGATTCAGCATCTGCCCTCCCAAAGCAGATGTCAGACAGTTTAAGAGTCACAACTACCACGTGTCAAGGTGTTGCATGAGGCAGAAAGTGCAGAGAGAGGCGGAGCCACCCCAGAAGAGGCTTAACCTCATCTGGGCCAGGAAGACCTCAATTATCCTCCATGTGCCCAGGGAGGCACTGCAGGCTGTGAGGTGGTTGTTGTGTGCTGAAGAGTCAGGCTGTGCTTTGGTAGGAAGCTTCCTTCTGGAGACTGAAGCAGTAGGACTGCTACTGAGAAAGAGAGCAAAGAAACTCAGCTGAGGTCTGAGTCACGTTTTTGTGCAAGGGCACATTTTATCCTCTCAAAACAGCATGTCTTTTGCTTTTCTTTTTTCTTTTTTGAGATAGGGTCTCACTCTGTCACCCAGCCTGGAGTGCAGTGGTGTGATCTTGGCTCACTGCAGCCTTGATATCCTGGGCTGAAGTGATCCTCCTGCCTCAGCCTCCTGAGTAGTTGGCACTACAAGTGTGCACCACCACGCCCAGCTAGTTTTTGTATTTTCTGTAGAGGCAGGGTTTCACCATGTTGCCCAGGCTGGTCTCGAACTCCTGGGCTTAAGCAATCCACCTGCCTCAGTCTCCCAAAGTGCTGGGATTATAGGTGTGCACCACTGAGCCTGGCTGTTTTTGCAAGGTTATAGGTTCCCTTATACTTTGGGGAACTGATAAGCACTTTTAAGTGCAGAAAAGGAGGCTTACAGGATGATATCACAAGAAGAGTAGAGAACTGGAACCTACTTCTGAGATGATGCACTTTAGATGCCTCTTAGCTCCTTAATAGCAGCAGCTCTGTCTGTGTCATAAAGTAGTGAAATTGCTGTGGTTGGCAGACATTTCTAGAGGCCCTGTACGATTTTGAAAATGTTATGTCTGTTTAACAGTGGGTATGTACCAAGCACTGGCATTGGATAAGACGTAGGCAATAAAAGGGTGACTAAGTCGCAGTTCCCTCTTGTCCTCCTGGCATTAATCATTGTCCCTTGTGTTCCTGATATTTTTTATTTTCAGCTAAGTAATCATTTGTTTGAAGAACTTGCCATGGATGTGTACGATGAAGTTGACAGGCGAGAGACGGATGCAGGTGACTTGACGTGGCTTTATCTAATAAGCTTCTGTTATCAGTGGGCAGTGAAAAGCTGCCAGGCTCAGTGTTTTACTAGTCCAATTTCTGCTGTCCTGATGGTGCGAGTGTCGACGTTTGCCTTTGCGTGTGTTGGCTTCAGAGTGTGTTTCCCCTCGTAGTGCGTGAGCTGTGCCTCCCAGGAGCAGTGGCACACAGGCGTGATGAGGTTTGTCTCTGGCTCTTTCCTCTGACTAGTCTGGCTTGCCACGCAAAACCACAGCGCCCTGGTAACCGAGACAACGGTCGTCCCCTTTCTTCCGGTCAATCCTGAGTACTCATCAACACGAAATCAGGCAAGTGGCTCAGTTTGGAAAGGAATAGTAGTTGGGGAATGGCTGATGTCATGTTTCATTTTTCCCAGGAAAACTATTCTAAATGTTTTGATTGATTAAAATTTAATATCCTTTATACATATATACACACACAACCCCCAAATTGATAAGAAAAACAATAGACTATAAATAAATGACTGGGAAAGAATATGAAACAATTCACAGAAGAAATATAAATGGCTTACAAATGTGAAGAAATGTTTAACCTTGTCAGTAATCTAAGAAAGCAACTTAAAAGCATTAGTGCAAGTTTTATCAGTCAAATTAATAAAATATATAATAAAGGATACTCCAAACTGGTAAGGATGTGGTAAGCTGAGCTTTCTCTTGCAACAGATAGAACTTTAAATTGCTGTAGATGTTAGAAAAGCAATTTGTTTACCAGTTTCAGAAGCCTCAAAATTAAGTACATCCTTTTACATGGGAATTTCTCATTTGAGAATATGCTCTAATAAAATAAAAATAGATTTATGCACGTGATTTTCATCAAAGCACCATTGTATACAATAGAGCATTAAAAACAGCTAACACATCCATCAAGAGGAGAAATGTTGAATGAATTATGAAGGTGTTTTAGTCTTTATAATTAGCAGCTATATATAAGGATAGGGAATATCTAGACTATGATTTTGTTTAACTTAAATTTTTTTTTTCTTTTGAGACGGAGTCTTGCTCTGTTGTCCAGGCTAGAGTGCAGTGGCACCATCTCAGCTCACTGCAACCTCCACCTCCCGGACCCAAGCGATTCTCTTGCCTCAGCCTCCCCAAGTAGCTAGGATTACAGGCACCCGCCACCATGCCTGGCTAATTTTTGTACAAAGTCCTGACCTCAAGTGATCCTCCCGCCTCAGCCTCCCAAGGTTCTGGGATTACAGGCGTGAGCCACTGCACCCGGCCTAAACTTAAAATTTAAAAATTCCCCTCAAAATTAATTTATTATTACTGGGTCTACTTCCAAACTGAAGCATTAATAGAAGAAAAGCATTCAGTAGACCCATTTTATTTTTGCTTACCAAAATAGACCTGCATTGTGAGAACAATGCATATGTGAGAAATGCCATAACATTTGTTATGAAATTCTCTTATATAAATGGTTTTAAACTGTTCATATGGAAAACAAGCATTAACTTGGTTTGATTATGGCTGGGATTAATTGTACTTTGATCATGCCAGAAGAAAGTATTTGCAGAAGTCTGTCAATAGTCTGACTAGTTTTATGTGACTATTTATGTATATATTTTTACACTGGGAAATATTTCCAATTATTTTCCCACCTTTAGGGCAGACAGAAGTTAGCTCGGTTCAACGCCCATGAGTTTGCCACGCTGGTCATTGACATTCTCAGTGACGCCAAGAGGAGACAGCAGGGCAGTTCTCTCTCGGGTTCAAAAGGTAACTGCTCAAACCTCCAAACACTTGCATTTTTTGGCCCTCTAAATTTGACTCAGGTGTTAAAGTTATAAACTAATTAAAGCAGTCATCAACATGACAGTTCTATAGGTTTTTGGTTTTTTGTTTGTTTTTTTACTTTAAGTTCCGGGATACCTGTGCAGAATGTGCAGGCTTGTTACGTAGGTATACGTGTGCCATGGTGGTTTGCTGCACCTATTGACCTGTCCTCTAGGTTCCCTCCCCTCAGCCCCACCCACTGTAAGTTTTATTGGTAGTATATTGTGATAAATAGTTTACCTGTCTGAGCCCTGGTGAATTAACAATATTTCAGAGTTATTAACTGCTACACATATTTATCTTATATATGATTTCTGTTTTGTTTTGGGACACTTAACCTACCCTGTAAAATTGCATCCTGAAATTAACCCAAAACTCTGGCTTAGATCTTGTTAAAGGACATAAGAAAATAAACTCTTCTTGGCCGGGCGTGGTGGCTCACACCTGTAATACCAGCACTTTGGGAGGCCGAGGCAGGTGGATCACCTAACGTCAGGAGTTCGAGACCAGCCTGGCCAACATGGTGAAACCACCTCTCTACTAAAAATACAAAAATTAGCAAGGCATGGTGGCGGGCGCCTGTAATCCCAGCTACCCAGGAGGCTGAGGCAGGAGAATCACTTGAACCTGGGAGGCGGAGGTTGCAGTGAGCCGAGATTGCACCACTGCACTCCAGCCTGAGTGACAGAGCAAGACTCTGTTTCAAAAAAAAAAAAAAACGGAAAAGAAAAACTCTTCCTGATTGAAACTGCATAATATCTGCTGTTGCTTACCTACAAAACTGAGTTCAACATAATTAAAATTTGTTGCCATAAACTTTAAATGTCTTCAGTGAGAATTACTGTGATATACAATTATAAGGAGAGCTCTGAGCATCTGTTTCACCAGTGCCCTGTTGAGTCTAGTTCAGTAGCCCAGGTCCTGTCTGCATGCTTAGGAATGTCCTTCCTCTCCAGCCCTATTACTGTATCCATATTGGTTTTTTCTAATTATAGAAATTAGACGTTTTTCATTGTAAGTCATTTAAGCAAAAGAAATATGTACCATAAAAATTAAGTTTTCAGTCAGTATCACATTCCCCAAAGACAGTAATCATTAACTGACAACAACTCATTCATTCTTCTTTCCTGTTCAGGAATTTGATTTTATCTGTTCAACCAGGAATAAGGAAGTTCTGAAAAGGTTTATTAAATTTTGGTGAAGGCACAGTGACAAGAGTCTTTGGATAAGTTTAAAGTCTTAAAATGGCCTGGGCGTGGTGCCTTACGCCTGTAATCCCAGCACTTTGAGAGGCTGAGGCGGACAGATCATTTGAGGTCAGGAGTTTGAGATCAGCCTGGCCAACATGGTGAAACCCATCTCTACTAAAAATACAAAAAAATTAGCTGGGCGTGGTGGTACGCGCGTATAATCCCAGCTACTCAGGAGACTGAGGCAGGAGAATTGCGTGAACCTGGGAGACAGAGGTTGTAGTGAGCCGAGATCACACCACTGCACTCTAACCTGAGCAACAGAGTGAGACTCTGTCTCAAAAAAAAAAATTGGGGGCCAGGCACGGTGGCTCACACCTGTAATCCCAGCACTTTGGGAGGCTGAGGTGGGCAGATCACGAGGTCAGGAGATTGAGACCATCTTGGCTAACATGGTGAAACCCCGTCTCTACTAAAACTACAAAAAATTAGCCAGGCATGGTGGTGGGTACCTATAGTCCCAGCTACTCAGGAGGCTGAGGCAGGAGAATGGCGTGAACCTGGGAGGCAGAGCTTGCAGTGAGCCAAGATTGTGCCACTGCACTCCAGCCTGAGTGACAGAGCAATACTCCTTTTCAAAAAAAAAAAAATTTTTAACTTAAAAAACAAAGTCTTAAAAAATACCTGCTCTTTGATTTGATAATTCCACTCTTAGGTATTAACTGAAGGGAAATCATCAGAGATGTTATATGTAGAACAACACAAACATTAGAAGCAACTAAGTAATAAAGAGGAACAATTAGTCACATTTTAAAATAGTACATGCTGCACTTTGGGAGGCCAAGGCAGGCGGATCACGAGTTCAGGAGATCGAGACCATCCTGGCTAACACGGTGAAATCCTGTCTCTACTAAAAATATAAAAAATTAGCTGGGCATGGTGGCAGACGCCTGTGGTCCCAGCTACTCGGGAGGCTGAGGCAGGAGAATGGCGTGAACCCGGGAGGTGGAGCTTGCAGTGAGCCAAGATCGCACCACTGCACTCTAGCCTGGGCGACAGAGCAAGACTCCGTCTCAAAAAAAAAAAAAAATACATACTTATCTTTTTTTAAAAGAATATGTAATTGTCTTAGTCCCTTTTGTGTGGCTATAAAAGAATACCTGAGACTGGGTAGTTCGTAAAGAAAAAAGGTTTATTTGGCTAATGATTCTGCTGACTGGAGGATTGGGCATCTGGTGAGAACCTCAGGCTGCTTCCACTCATGGAAGGTGAAGGGGTGCTACATGTGCAGAGATCACACGGTGAGAGAGGAAGCAAGAGAGCGAGGAGGGAGGTGCCAGGCTCTTTTCAATAACCAGGTCCTAGCAGGAACTAATAGAGCGAGAACTCACTACAAAGGGAGGGCATTGATCAGTTCATAAAGGATCCACCCCCATGACCCAAACACCTCCCTTTAGTCCTCCCCTCCAACACTGAGGATCACATTTCAACATGAGATTTGGAGGGAAGAAACATTTATACTATAGTAGTAATTATATGAGACAAAGTAATAAAGTTTGATTTTGTTTTGTTTTTTTTTTTTTGAGACGAGTCTCACTCTGTCGCCCAGGCTGGAGTGCAGTGGCGCGATCTTGGCTCACTGCAACCTCTGCCACCCAGGCTCAAGTGATTCTTGTGCCTTAGCCTCCTGAGTAGCTGGGATTACAGGTGTGCACCACCACACCCAGCTAATTTTTGTATTTTTTAGTAGAGACGGGGTTTCTCCATGTTGGCCAGGCTATTCTCGAATTCCCAGCCTTAAGCGATCTGCCCACCTCAGCCTCCCAAAGTGCTGGGATTACAGGCATGAGCCACCATACCTGGCCAAATAATAAAGTTTTTAAAAGGTTTTGTATAACCCCAGTTTTGTAAGGAAAACATATTTATGTAAATATGTGTGTACAAGTGAGTATACCACATGTAAATATAAATACACAATTGATCCTCATGTGCACATCCCATATTTACAAATTCATCTACTTGCTAAAATTTGTGACCTCAAAATTAATACAGCATTTTCAAGGTCATTGTAAGAAATGTACAGAGCAGAGAAAAAAATTGAGTCACCAAAAGCACATGTTTCCAGCTGAGATTGAACAGGGAGGAGACTCCTTGACTTCTTGTTTCTGCACTCATGCTATAAACAAGTGTCTGTGGTCTATTTAGTGCCATGTTAGTCATATTTGTGTGCTTTTCATTGGTCATTTCACTGTTTTAAAATGGCCCCCTACCGCCCAGGATCAATTGAGTGCCCAGGAGATTGAGGCTGCAGTGAGCCATGATCACGTCTGCACCCTAGCATGGGTGACCCTATCTCAAAAGTGTCTCCTTGGCCAGACGCAGTGGCTCACGCCTGTAATCCTAGCACTTTGGGAGGCTGAGGTGGGCTGATCACGAGGTCAGGAGTTCGAGACCAGCCTGACCAACATGGTGAAACTCTGTCTCTACTAAAAATACAAGAAAAATTAGCCAGGCATGGTGACGCGTGCCTGTAATCCCAGTTACTCAGGAGGCTGAGGCAGGAGAATCACTTGAACCCAGGAGGTGGAGGATGCAGTGAGCTGAGATCGTGCCACTGCACTCCAGCCTGGATGACAGAGTGAGACTCCATCTCAAAAAAAAAAAAAGTGCACACCTGAACAACATAGCAAGGCCCCATCTTTACCAAAAAATTTAAAAATTTTCTAGGTGTGTTGGCATGTGTCTGTAGTCCTACATACTCAGGAGGCTGAGGCAGGAGGATCACTTGAGCCCAAGAGTTAGAAGCTATAGTGAGCTATGATTATGCCAGTGCACTCCAGCCTGGGTGACATAGCGAGACCCTGTCTCAATAAAAAAAGAAAAAAAGTGGCCCCCAAGCATAGTCCTGAAGTGCTGTCTAGTGTTTCTAAGTGCAAGAAGGCTGTGATGTGCCCTACGGAGAAATGTGTGTTAAATAAGCATCATTCAGGCATGATTTATAGTGCCGTTGGCCATGAGTTCAATGTTAATGAATCAATACTATGTATTAAATAAGGTATCTTTAAACAGAAACACACGTAGAACAAGGTTATATATTGATTGGTTGATAACCCCAGAAGCACTGATCTAATATTGGCCAAGTCACAGCAACTTTTTAGAACATAACTACCAAGAGGCTGGGTGCGGTGGCTCACACCTGTAATCCCAGCACTTTGGGAGGCCGAGGTGGGCAGATCACGAGGTCAGAAGATCGAGACCTTCCTGGCTAACACGGTGAAACCCCGTCTCTACTAAAAAAATACAAAAAAATTAGCTGGGTGTGGTGGCGGGCGCTTGTAGTCTTAGCTACTCAGGAGGCTGAGGCAGGAGAATGGCGTGAAACCGGGAGGCGGAGTTTGCAGTGAGCCAAGATCGCGCCACTGCACTCCAGCCTGGGCAACAGAGTGAGACTCTGTCTCAAAAAAAGAAAAGAACATAACTACCAAGCATAACAAGAATTGACTGTGTGTGGCTATAAGTGCTCGGAGAAAAACCTAGAAATAGATCAACAAATAACAATGGCTATAAGTGATTATCTTACTTGTTCATTAGTTTCTAAATTGAATATATTGACTATTCTGTAATTATATTTATGTGTTTTAAAATATTTAAACAGTTAAAATAGGATCTATCCTTTATTATTATTATTATTTTTTTTTTTTTTGAGACAGAGTCTCGCTGTCATCCATGCTGGAGTGCAGTGGCATAGTCTTGGCTCACTGCAACCTCCACCTTCTAGGTTCAAGCGATTCTCCTGCCTCAGCCTCCCAAGTAGCTGGGATTACAGATGTGCACCACCACGCCCAGCTAATTTTTGTATTTTTAGTAGGGATGGGGTTTTGCCATGTTGGCCAGGCTGGTCTCGAACTCGTGACCTCAAGTGATCCATCTGCCTCAGCCTCCCAAAGTGCTGGGATTACGGATGTGAGCCCCTGCGCCCAGCTAGGACCTAGTCTTTTTAAATAACCACCATTCATCACCCAGATATCATCCATCCATTGTTTCCTCAACATCTCTGGGAAACAATATTAGAAGTCAGAGTTTGAGTTGCCTGAAAGAAATCAGAGAGACTTGGGTAGTTTGTGAAATCTTTTGTTCAAAGTGTATTAGATCCTCTAGAATAATCCCTGCTCCCTATGGGATAGACACTCCCTGTAACATGCACATGTGTATTTGTTTGATTCATTCTCCTTTATCTCTTTCTCTCGCTGAGATGCAGGTAATTGACTAAATGCCAATGTTTCTATTCTTTTTTTTTTTTTTGAGACGGAGTCTTGCTCTGTCGCCCAGGTTGGAGTGCAGTGGCATGATCTTGGCTCACTGCAAGCGGGTTCATGCCATTCTCCTGCCTCAGCCTCCCGAGTAGCTGGGGCTATAGGCGCCCGCCACCACACCCGGCTAACTTTTTGTATTTTTAGTAGAGGCGGGGTTTCACCATGTTAACCAGGATGGTTTCGATCTCCTGACCTCGTGATCCGCCCGCCTCGGCCTCCCAAAGTGCTGGGATTACAGGCGTGAGCCACCGCGCCCGGCCCAGTGCTTCTATTGTTTGAGTGCCTAGGTTCTGGCTCCAGTTTAACAATTTGCTTTCTGTTTTGAGTGACATTACCTTGTAAATATGTTATAGGTATTCATAGAATTACAGTTTATCTTCCATTACCTACAGCCTTATCTTCATGACCTGGAGCTAGGCTCTATCTCTAGAAACTTGGGAACCTGCCTTCTTTATCTGAGCAGTTCCTTCCTAAGCCATCTGTTTAATTTGCCCATATTTGGCAGGTAGATGAGAGGAATGCTGGAGTCTCTTATGTAGCTGTCCACCTGGTTGAAAACTTTTTCTGTTATCTCTGTATTGGTGTGAATATAACGTTGCCATTTCTGTCATTTTTTTTCAGTCCTTGTTCATTTTGTTTTTGTCTTTGTTTTTGCTCTTAGAGACAGGGCCTCACTCTGATGCCCAGGCTGGAGTACAGTGGTGCAGTCATGGTTCACTGCAGCCTCAATCTCCTGGGCTCAAGCAATCCTCCTGTCTTAGCCTCCTGAGTAGCTAGTAGCTGGGACTACAGGCCTGTGACACCAGGCCTGGATAATTTTTAAATTATTGTGTAGGGATGGAGTCTCATTGTGTTGCCTAGGTAGGTCTCAAACTCCTGGCCTCAAGCAGTTCTCCTCCTTGGCCTCCTAGAATGCTGGGATTACAGGCAAGAGCACAGCATTCAGCCCTTTAAGTCCTTTAAATGGCTAAACCAAAAAATCCTCTCCGTAGTTTTTTGGAAGAAAAGCAATGTTTTAAGCCTGAAGTAAAGTTGTTTGCTTTTATTGATAGACAATGTGGAGCTCATACTGAAAACCATCAATAACCAGCACAGCGTTGAGAGTCAAGACAACGATCAGCCCGACTATGACAGCGTGGCATCAGACGAAGACACAGATTTGGAAACCACTGCAAGCAAAACAAACCGGCAGAAGGTGAGAGGCCATGCGTCCCATGGAAGGGCAAGCACGCATCAGCTGAGGGCTAGCCCTGCCAAAGCTGCTGTGCAGTGAGGTTGGGTTTGTTACTAGCTCAGGCCAAGCAAAGGTGAAACAAGGTTAAATGGTTTTAAAATAGGGATCCTTGTCCCTGCATCACAGCCCTGCTGCAGTTGAGACTTTATAAAACTTGTGAGGAGTGATTGGTGTGTTTTATTCATTCAACAAGTGTTTACTGAGTGACTTCTCTGGATATTACTCTCCTGAATGAGGCCTCGTCCCTTTCCTGTGAGGCTCTCATTGCCTAGGAGAGAGAGAACTGCGGAGAAGGCACAAAGTGATGTGTGTCATACGAAGCACACACAGGCTGAGGGAGTGAGCAGAGAGAGAATCTATGGCTGGGAGCATCAGGTGGGGCTGTGTCATAGGACAGCTCTTAAGATGCGCCTCAAGGGACGCTTGGGATTGGGGCATGTGGAGGAGTCAGAAAGAAAGTGAAACCAGGGCATCTAAGGGGAAGCTGGTCATGCATAGGGACAGCCTAAAAAGGTTGGGACTCGAAGCTGCAGCAGGAGGGGTATGACACCCGACGGAAGAGAGTGGGCCTCACAGGCAGTGCAGAGCCCAGGATGCCATGTCTGGGGAGGACTCTTCTGGTGGGTTAGAGAGTGGAGGGAGAGATCCATACTGGAGCTGATGCAGGCCACCTAAGGACCCATGCTAGGATGGTGCGGGTGGGAGAGACCTCGGCACCAGAGTGTGAGCTGGGGGAGAGGGCAGCAGGACCCCAGGCTGTGCACCCTCTGCTGACCCCCAGGACACACCCACAGAGGGGCTTGGCAATCATTTGAGAATGGATGAATAGGAAGGTAGAATAGAAAAGTCTTGGCAATAAGTCGGAAGGTTGAAGTGGGGAGACAGATTTATAGAAGATTTGTTTGGAGTTCTTCGGCCCACATGACTGTGAGAAAGATGGCGTCATTAGCAGATGCAGGGGACACCCCTGCGCAGACTTCCCGGAAGCCACCTGGTTCACTCAGTGAGAGCCGAGGTCATTCCAAGACCCTCTGTGACCAGGCCCTCTGTCAACCGCCTGGCCTCCTGCCCAGTCCATCCCACACACCTGCTCCCTCTAGCTGAGCTCCACTGCAGGCTGGAATGTTCTTCCTCCAGATTCATGTGACTCATCCCCTCACCTCCTGGGGCTCTGCTCACCTCTCACCCACTCACAGGCTTACCCCAGCTCCCCGCTTAACATGCAGCCCCCTACCCTGCTCTGTCTTATCTTTTCCCACAGCACTCATCACCCTCAATCATGCAATATATATACTCTCTCATGCTGTTGGAATATAAACACCATGGAAGCAGGAATCTTTGTCTCTTTTCTAATATATCCCAAGCACCTAGAACACTGCCTAATGTTCAATGAAAATGTTGGAATGAATGAATTAATGAAAGAATGAATAAAAACAAAACAAGAGTGAACGAGAGAAAGGCTTACAAGACAGGACAGACCTCCTTAGACAGTCATTGTCAGCATAGATGTGTAGCCTCACTGCCTGTTCTATTAGAAAATACTGACTTTCAAATTTTTTAAATAGTATAGTGACCCTACTTTTATGTTTTAGTTTTGCATTACTCTCAGAGGCCTTGATTTGGTTTGACTAACTTTGCAATTCAGCTGGCTTGGTCAGAATTTGAAATTCTTGAGCTGTTAGTCTTTAATGTTCTCGTCATCTCAGATTGTGAACGTTTTCCCAATTTATTTTTAGAGCCTAGATTCAGATTTATCAGATGGACCAGTCACTGTACAGGAATTTATGGAGGTCAAAAACGCTCTAGTGGCTTCTGAGGCCAAGATACAGCAGCTAATGAAGGTGAATAACAACTTGAGTGACGAGCTGAGAATTATGCAGAAAAAGGTAACATGTTAATAAATGCCAGGACGGTTGACGCTTTAATCCCATAGTACAAGGAAGAATCTCAGGCACTGTGATGTGGTCCGAGGAAAGAAAAACAGTTATTGTAACAGCCTTAGAAATCTTTGGGCCAAGTTGTCTTTTTGAAGCAGGATGTATTTGGATATTTAAAATGAAATATATCCAGAGTAAGTTCCCCAGGTAGGAGAAACCTAACATCTATTTAAGCATTTGTGCCCATTAGAATAACCCTTGGACTATTCTGTGCTTCCTGGAAACCTGGATGGGGCTCCATGGATGTGATTCTTCCCATTGCTAGGGAAGGATGATCACACCATGGAGACAGAGCCAATGAGAGCCCTGGGCAGGGGCATGTTTATCAGCATTCAAACCCTGCTCCCACCCTGGCAGCCCTATCCCACATCCCCACCTTATTGCTCACCAGTTTTTACTACTAACTTGTATTATCCCCAGAGCCTACAGGAGGGCCTGCCACAGAGTAGGTGCTCAAAAAATAAGAAAAAACATTTCATTTGTACTAGGAAGAGCTGCACACTGGTAAAAAACAATCTCATTTGCTCAGCATTTTCTCATTCATTACCTTTTGAGAGAATCAGAACCGTGTGAATATATTAATCCCTAAAAGGAGTGTGGTTGATGGTAGCAAGGAATACCCTTAGTAGGAGGGGGATTGTGTATGCAACTCCTTATGAGATGGCTAAATAAGGGAATTCGAAAAATTGCAAATTTTGCCCATGACTTTGTGGGTATCACTCATCATTCAGCTCTAAAATGAGATTTGGACACTTTACTTAACCAGAAACAAAATGAAATATATAATCTATGTCTTTAGGCTGTCATTTGAGAAGTAAGGTTTTCAAATCATTTTCAAGACCTGAGGACGTGGCACACTCCATGTGTGCCTGGACTCTTTTCAGTGCTGCTTCCTAAAGGAAGGTGGAAGAACTAAAAAGGGGCCCATGCCCCTCTGTTTACTAGGGAAGGAAATTGCTGTGCACTTTTGCCTGGGGTTTGGTCTAGGATTCTTTTGATGTTGACTTCTAGAGCATTTTTGAGACTTTTTGAAATAAATGGCTCTAATGCCTATAGTAGCAGGGAATGAAGAATGCTTAAGATCAGCTAGCCTTAAACGAACAGACACTTGTTCTGTGTCTCCCAGCCCTGTCTAGGGCTGCCGTGCAGCTGTAAACGAGACAGACCGAGAGCCCCTTTGTCATAACATACAGGACCTGTATTTTCTTTGCCTTCTTTGGAATATATTTTATTTAGTGGATTATAGTTTGTTCCATTAATTGGACTAATAATTTTGACCAGGTGACTATTTCTGAAACATGCTGATTTTGCCACTGTAAATCAATCTGCTGCACATCACCTTTTAAAATCTAACAATGCTTCTTTTAGTATTTTTGGAAATCACCAGAGAGAGCCTCATTATCTCTGAAAGCAAATGTCTTGAGCTTCTTTGAGAAATGCAAAGTGAAATTATTTGCTTTTGCTTATTGATTATCTCATCAATTCTTAGAAGTGCTTTTGATTTCTGAAACTATTGAATTGTCTATAACTTTTTATTTTCCCTTATACTCCTTCCAAATAAAAAAGTGTAGCCTGGTTCTTATTAAGATAAACGTCATTAAAATTTATGTGAAGACATCTCTCTAAATACAGAGTACTAACATTTTTAAAAATTGAAACCAAGAACTTGTGCTCATGAGAACACATTCAGACAAAATCCAGGCATGAAAAGTGTTAGGATAAAGTTTCAGATTTCAAGGCCTTAACTAAATAACTGCCACAGAGGCTTTTTATACAGACAAACACGTGATCACATGCACCAGTGCCCCATTGAGGGACCTGTGTCAGTTACACACCTCAGTCCTTGAACCTTGACCATTTCACTCTAGGCCCTGGGTTCTCTAATGAATAGTTTCAACAGGCACTTCATGCCTGTCTGTATCCTGGAATGTAGAAATGTTCAGGGCTGCTTTGTCAGCTGCTTTGCAGCTGTTCTTTCCCTGGAAAGGGAATTGCAGATATGAGCTATACCCTGCCAGCCTTTGTGATATAAAAGCATTCTATCATTCTGTAATGGCTTGCTCTTCAGAGAAACAGAATGAGTGGTCTTTTTGTGGAAGAGGCAGTAAGTCACACTTTCACAGCAGTTTGGCATGATTAATATAAAGTATATGGAATTTGTTTATTTAGCAAAGATGTATTGATTATATTTCAAAGTTGGGTAAAGTTTTTAATATACATAAAGTTGACAAAGTAGCATGATTTGTATCTGATCTTTCACATTTAACAGTTGCTTGGAAAAGATGCTAATTAATGAAGAGGAGCAACTACTATTGGTGTATTTTTCACAGATTGGTGCTTTCTAAATAAAAATTGAAAGTAACTCCTAACATTGAATGGGTTTGCTACTGAAAAAGTAATGATCTTCTGGTGCAAACAGTTGCTTGTGGACTTAAACCTTGGCACTGGTGGGGAATTTGGTCAGATTTTACAATCTCTGTCAAAGAGTAGACAGCTGAACTCACACCACACCCAGCTTATAGAATGTCCATGGAAGATGAAGGCGCACCAGAAGGGAAGGACCCTGCGCAGAATGGACGTGGTGAATGGTGTTTAAAATGCCAGATGCCAAAGAGTAACACGATTCCCTGCTGACCCCTTAACTCTAATCCATCCAGCACCATGGAGCAGCCTGCATGTGAGGAATGGAAGGAGCATTCAGGGCCTCCAAGTGACAGTCTCTAAAATGGGGTGGTGCCAGGCAGATTAGCATGTTCAAAGCTGACACCACTGAGGTCGTGTTTTTTGGGTGACAAAGCCAAAGGAGAGAAAGGCCAAATATTCCAGCCCTGGCCGAAAGATGATCACTCACCAGACGGAAGCAAGCGTGCTGCGTGGAGCATCCATGCGAAGATGTCAATTCCATAGATCAATAGGTTTCCAGTTTTCTTCGTGATATGTTAATATAGCAAACTTACCATGATCCGGTTTTCTCTTTTTTCTTTTTTTTTTTACAAAGTGCTGAATTGTTTGGAATATCAAGAGTATTATGTAATAAAAACTTGTTGATCATAATTTTTCTTGTTGGCTTTTTGGAAAGCAATAGGCGATCTGATTTTTCACAAGCTGAACTTCTGTCTTTCTTGCTTTGCAAAGCAACCCTAGTCATCTTTGTGCTGCTTCCATGGTGTCTGCTGTCATTTTTGGCCTTTACAAATTGCTCAGGGCTCATTTGAAAAGCAAGTTACCTAAATGATGTTTTAATGATCTCGAACTCTTGCTTGAAACAGCCTTAGTAATAATCCAGTGTACAGCTTGCCTGCAAACATTTCCCAGCCCCACCATGACAAATTTTAAAGTGGTTAGACATTTTGTTTTGAGGAAGTCCAAACCACAACTTTTCCACATTCAGAAATGAAGCTATTTAATTTGCTTACGTGATGAAGGGAGTTGATTGTGTTTCACCCAATCCAGAAGAAAGGGTCCTTGTTTGTATTGGCTTTTTACTTTCAGCCCGGCTAGCTGTTACTGTCCTTATTGTTTAAAACTGGTAGTTGTATTCATTTACTTGGTGTTTGCTTTTTCTGCTTGCTGTAAAAAAACACAGTCCCACTGCCAAACATTTCTTTCAGCTTCAAACACTCCAGAGTGAAAATTCGAACCTCAGGAAACAGGCCACAACCAATGTATATCAGGTGCAAACTGGTTCTGAGTACACAGACACTTCCAACCACTCTTCCTTAAAGAGACGTCCGTCTGCCCGGGGCAGTAGGCCCATGTCCATGTACGAGACCGGATCAGGTCAGAAACCATATCTCCCAATGGGAGAAGCGAGCCGCCCCGAAGAGAGCAGGATGAGACTCCAGCCCTTCCCCGCGCACGTAAGTAACACCACTGGCGCTTCTGCTGTTCACTCTATGCAGCCTGTCTACTCTGTTCCCTCTTCTGAACCTACAGGTCCCCACAGCTCTGCTTTGCCAAATTGGACTAAGAGAGTTACCATTGTGTTTGCTGTATTAACATGTCCACAGATGCTTGCGATATTCCCACAAGCACACAGGGCCATGGGCTGATGGTTTCCTAACCAAGTTGGGGATTCTGGCTCTTGCCCGAACTGCTGCTTTTTTCTCCCCCACATCCATGATTATTTCTCAACCAGCCAGTGTTGGAACTTTTTTTGGTAAAGCTTCCTTCCTTCTCTACTTCCAAAAACAAAAATAAATCATAAAGTTCACTCTCAGAAGGAAGTGTTGCCTTCTTGGAGCTAGACAGGGATGTGCCCCTTTAAGTACTGGAGCCCTTAGAATCCAAGACGTCTTTTCAGCTCCTCCTCAAGCAGGTGGCCTTGAGTCTGTGGCCCAGGTACCCAGGCAAGGCTGGAAGGCTCCAGGCTTCCGCAGCCTCTCCATGTGTGCTCAGTGTGCCTGCTAGGTTCGCTTCTGCATCCTGCTCCTCCCACCGTGGTGGGGGAAGTGTGGCTTTGTTGTCTCAGAAAAGGAAATGTAATACTCTACATCAGTCTTAGAAGCGCTGAATTCCAGAGATTGTGTTCTGCAGCAGGGTTCTTACAATCTTATTTTGCATTGGGATACATACTGTGTTATAAGGTTTTCAAATATATTTCTTCTGGATTACTTTATTATAAAAATATGTGTTTTGCCAAGATGTTACATTTAAACTTTTTCATGGGATGCTTTTTCAGAGAGTAGTATTTGTCTTTTTGAGTGTCAAAGTTTATTATTTCTTCAGTCAAATTTTATGGGAGTTTCCAAAAAAATTCTCAAGGTAGATGCAAAGCAAGGACATGGTTTCGTGAATTAAACCCTAGTTTAATTTTGTCAATTTTCAGTGTGGTAAAATTACAATATTGTTTTACTATAATTGGGAGTCTGTTATCTCAGATTCTTTTTAAGATATTTGGGTTTAACATTCTAAGGCAATTGATTTGATACATTTGATGTAATGGGAATGCCACTGAACTAAGTTAAGAATCTTTTTTTTTTGAGATGGAGTCTCGCTCTGTCACCCAGGCTGGAGTGCAGTGGTGTGATCTCAGCTCACTGCAACCTTTACCTCCTGGGTTCAAGCAGTTCTCCTGCCTCAGCCTCCTGAGTAGCTGGGACTACAGGCACATGGTCCTGTGCCTGGCTAATTTTTTTGTTTTAGTAGAGACGGGGTTTCATCATGTTGCCCAGGCTGGTCTCAAACTCCTGAGCTCAGGCAATCCGCCCGCCTCAGCCTCCCAAAGTGCTAGGATTACAGGTGTGAGCTACCATGCCCACCCTAAGTTAAGAATCTTATTTTTGTATAGCTGAAGACAAAATTTAGGAAAAGCAACTTTGTTATTTTTCAGTGTACTTTCTTATTTTAGAAAAAATTAGAATATAAAGATATATCAGGAAGGCACTGTAATTGTACTAAAAATTAGATTGATAGTGTATAGCAACTTAGAATCATTTTTATAGTTTCTCATTTCACATCAGTCCTGATTGAAAAACAAATATGCATTTCATAGTATCCATTAAAAAATTATTGACAAGTTTGACAAATTATGTTAGGTATTTCCCTTATGGAAAAGCAGCCTTATTAAATTCAGAGTAATTTCCAGGAGGTGTTTCACCAAGGGTTTAAGCATCTCTGGGGTCCTGTCACTGGTGGCCACTGAGATTGCAGCACTCACGTCACATAATGTGTGGTGTTCCAGGATTCTTTTACTGAAGCTGGCAAGGTGGTAGGTTTTTGGTTTGTTTTGTATTTTCCCGAGTGTGTTTCTCTTTCCCATTCCAGATCGGGAGGAGTGCACTTGTGACCTCCTCTTCATCTCTGCCTTCCTTCCCCTCCACACTTTCCTGGTCGAGGGACGAAAGCGCCCGAAGGGTTAAGTACATTCTGAATGGTCTGCTCTCTGGAGGAGGGGCCGTGCTCCTGGGCGCTTTGTGCTTGGGCTCTGGCCCTCCTGTCCCTGCTAACTGCCCTTCCGTCCTGCATGAGGCAGCACTTCCTCCTGGTTTCTCACAGTGCATCAGGCTCACACTCGTCCACATGCACGCTCACCCATCGAGGGCGCCTCCCTTTCTCTAACCCCATACTGCTCATGTTCACGTCATATTTAACAAAGTTTGCAAATCACCCTACAGCATTTATTCTGAGCAAACTGTTTTTTTAAACAACGAGAAAATTAGCTGGCTGCTGGTTAGATATTATAATAGGCCAAATTTGTTCAATTTGTTCAGGGCTACAGTTGTCAGATTGAAACTGCTGTATGTGGACTCGCTGAAGTACTAAAATGTCATGCCTTTTTTTTTTTTTTTAACCTGTGACACATTTTATGTCAGCACCACAAGTGCTGACAAACCAAGGTTTACAAGTCCCTGCATCTTGAATCAGAATTGTAACACCTTGTGGCATTGGAGCTATGCAAGCAGCTGTTAACCTAAAGCTGTTCACTTGTACGGGTTGGTTAAACCTCACCTACTGGTGTATAATTTATGGTCTCAATAGCAGTGCATGATTCAGGTAAGCCTCTTTTAGAGTAGTCAGGCAGTAAGTATTAAGCACCTCCTCCATACACAGCGTTTGGGTAAGTCAATGAAAGGGTCCTAAGGACTTAGCTGGCACAGCCCCTGCTCCCAAAGGCACTGTCAATTAAAAAATACTTTCATGCATAAAGAGTGGTACATGACCACAACCTGGGAAAGCCGTGGAAAGGGCATAGGCTTTGAAATCCACGTCCCAGTTCTGGCTCCATCTCTTTTTTAATGGAAGGGTAATGTAAGGTAAGAGGAGGAAGGTGGCTGTGGGTAAGGGACCACCTTTACAGGCAAGGTGGGGTTTGCACTGGGCCTTTGCCATTCCCTCCACACCTAGGAATTATGGAGAGCCTTTCTTTCCTAGTTCCAGTGGCATATGGATTACCAAGGCCCTTTCAGGATTCGTTTTTTTATTTTTTATTTTTTAGAGACAGAGTCTCATGTTGCCCAGTCTGTAGTACAATAGCTATTTACAGGCATGGTCATAGCGTACTGCAGCCTCAAACTCCTGGGCTCAAGCAGTCCTCCCACTTCAGGCTTCTGAGTAGCTGGGCCTACAGGCATGCGCCACCATGCCCTGACCCTTTTGGAATTCTTCACTTCACTTTCAGTCTATTAAGAATTCTCAGCCGAGTGCAGTGACTCACACACTTTGGGAGGCCTAGGCGGGTGGATTGCTTGAGCCCAGGAGTTCAAGACCAGCCTCAGCAACATGGCGAAATCCCATCTCTATAAAAAATATAAAAAATTATCCGGGTGTGTTGATGTGCACCTGTAGTCCCAGGTGCTTGGGAGGCTGAGATGGGAGGATCACTTGAGCCCACCATGAGAGATCGAGGCTGCAGTGAGCCATGATTGTGCCATTGCACTCCAGCCTGGACAACACAGTGAGGCCCTGTCTCAAAAAAAAAAAAGGAATTACTGTACTAAAAAAAAAAAAAAAGAATTCTTGATACATTGTACTTAAAGTCTCGGCTGGGTGCAGTGGCTCATGCCTGTAATCCCAGCACTTTGGAAGGCCAAGGTGGGTGGATCACTTGAGCCCAGGAATTTGAGACCAGCCTGGCCAACATGGCAAAACCTGTCTCTACTAAAAATACAAAAATTAGCGGCGGGTGGTGGCGCATGCCTGTAATCCCAGATACTTGGAAGGCTGAGGCACGAGAATCAAGAATCCCTTGAACCTGGGAAGTGGAGGTTGCAGTAAGCCGAGATTGCACCACTGCACTCCAGCCTGGGCGACAGAGTGAGATTGTCTTAAAAAAAAAAAGTCTCCTGAGCAGTTCTGAAATTGAACTGTAATGTTTCATTAAAATAGCCCAGATACAACTAAAGGACAGTTAGACAGTGATTAAATATCTCATTAGAAATTTTGTAAGTCAAACCTCTTTTGTCTACTGTGAAATTTTTGTTTTTTAATTTGTATGGTAGCCTTAAAAATCATTGCAAGGACTGCTTGCTGAGACAGAGTTTTGTACAAAAATCATTTAAACTGATCACCCTGATTGTTCCTGACAGCTTCATCATGAGTTTAGATTTTTATGGCGTGTCTTTATTCAGAGAAAACTGCAAACCTATTAAATACATTGAACCAGCACCAGCTATAAGGTAACCTTCCTATTAACAGCTTTGAGAGAGCAGCACTCTTAACCAATAGCTTTTGGCTCTGCATGCTTATAATATTTTTGATACAATTAAATGCTGGCTACACTGAAATTCTGTACATATGCTTTTGTTGACAACGATGGAAGGACTTAACTAACGTGTAAGTAACTGATTTCCTGGGTGGTTGCTGCTATATGTTGTTTTCCATACTTGAAAAAACATTTACCAAATGCATTTATTAGGTATATGAGTCACTACTCTTCTAAAATGTTTAAATGAAACTTGGTACTTTTCATCATTGAGGGTAATGCATTTGATTTGCGATTTATCACATTTTCATCAGGGAAGGCAAAAAGATTCATTATAAAGGCCAGACATGGTGGCTCACGCCTCTAATCCTAGCACTTTGGGAAGCCGAGGCAGGTAGATTGCCTGAGCTCGGTAGTTTGAGACCATCCTGAGCAACACAGTGAAACCCTGTCTCTATTAAAATACAAAAAATTAGCCAGGTGTGGCGGTGGGTGCCTGTAGTCCCAGCTACTTGGGAGGCTTAGGCAGGAGAATCACTTGAACCTGGGAGGCCGAGGCAGAAGTTACAGTGATCCAGGATTGCACCACTGCACTCCAGCCTGGGCGACAGAGCAAGACTCTGTCTCCAGATAAATAAATAAAAAAGATTCATTATAAAAATGTAGAATTTTCTGGGTTTAATTCTGTTTCTAGTTTGTTTTCCACTGGAGCAGCTCTGGGCAAATTTTTCAGTATAATTACGTAAATGCAAGTTTTTATCTATTCATATATGTGTATATGTATACACACACACACCTCTGTGTGGGTGTATATATAAAAACCAAAATAAAACTTAAAAGTTAGTTGGGGCCAGGTGTGGTGGCTAACACCTATAATCCCAGCACTTTGGGAGGCCAAAGTTGGAGGATCACTTGAGCTCAGGAGTTCAAGACCAGGCTGGGCAACATAGTGAGACCTTGTCTCCACAAAAAAGTACAAAATTAGCCAAGCGTGGTGGCACGGGCCTGTGGTCCCAGCTGCTCAGGAAGCTGAGGTGGGAGAATCGCTTGAGTCTGGGAGGTCGAGGCTGCAGTGAGCCGAGATTGTACCACTGCACTTAGCCTAGGCGACAGAGTGAGACCCTGTCTCAAAAAAAAAAAAGAAAAAAAATTGGCAGGGTGCGGTGGCTCACACCTATAATCTCAGCACTTTTGGAGGCTGAGGCGGGAAAATCACCTGAGGTCAGGAGTTTGAGACCAGCCTAACCAACATAGTGAAACCCCATCTCTACTAAAAATACAAAATTAGCTCGGTATGGTGGTGCATGCCTGTAATCCCAGCTACTCAGGGGGCCGAGGCAGGAGAATTGCTTGAACCTGGGAGGCGGAGGTTGCAGTGAGCCTAGCTTATGCCATTGCACTCCACAGGCAACAAGAGTGAAACTCAATCTCAAAAAAAAAAAAGAAAAAAGTTAGGCATTCCCTGTGAAAGATAAGAAGGGTTTTGGGTTTTTCTTCTTTCTTTTTCATTTTCTAAGCTCATCTCTGGAAGACCACAGTGCTTGCCCATGATCTTCCTGCTATAAACTTCTAGCAGCCAAACTCACTGACTGTTCATAAAGCCAGATCAAAACAAGGCAGCAAGAGAAGCAGAACTACTTATTGATAGGAGATATAAACAAAGGGATCATCAAAGTTGTCGATTCTACAGAAATTAGCTTTACAGACTCCCCATATGGCTCCAAGCTAACGTTTAATCATTTGCCAGATGGATTTGAGTGGCTTCAGGATGCACGAGTTCATAGTGAATTTTAGGAGCCCACAGCAAGTGTCTTGTATTTGAGCAGCTGGGAACTAAACAGCATGCGTGGAGGTGTGGATGGAAGACCTCAGCCGACAGAGGAGAGAACATGCGCCCTGGGAGCAGAAGAGTGTATGGGGATAGCAAACAAAGTGTGGTGTGAATAAGGGGGGCTTCTCCACGTGGGTCCGGCTGCCTTGCCTGTACCCACCAGGTGTTATCAGTAAGGAGTGACAGGCTTTATGTAGAGTTTTGTGGGGTTTTTTTTTTTTTTTCTTTTTGGTTTTGTTTTGTTTTGTTTTGTTTTGTTTTTTGAGTTAGGGTCTAGCTCTGTCACCCAGGCTGGAGTGCAGTAGTACGATCTCATCTCACTGCAACCTCCGCCTCCTAGGCTCAAGAGATCATCTCACCTCAGCCTCCCGAGTAGCTGAACTGCAGGTGTGCACTACCACACCCAGCTAATTTTTGTACTTTTAGTAGCGATGACGTTTCACCATGTTGCCTAGGCTGGCCTCAAATTCCTGACCTCAAGTGATCTGCCCACCTCTGCCTCCCAACATGCTGGGATTATGGGTGTGAGCCACCGCACCTGGCCATGTAGACCTTCTTAAACCAACTTACTCAAAAGTAGCCACTCTTTTGGATGAAGCTACAGGGTTTCCATATGTTTAAACAAAGCTCTTAGTTTACATCTGTGTCCTTAGCCACATTTTATTGCAGCATCAATAAAACTCCTTAGTCCCATGTTTTGATTAACTTGGATGAAATTCAAGGAGTAAAGCTAGAAATAGCTCACACTTATATTTTATAAGGTAAGTGGTTTAGGTTTTAAATTAGCCTCCACTGATCTCTGTTCCAGAGAAGTTCTCAAGCATTATGGGTGAAATAAATAGGGAAAATAATGTTCATGAAATACTCAGAACATAGTCCCCTTCGAAGGAATAAAGTCCCCTTCAAATTTCGTCACCCTAGAAGATCGTGTGTTTAGCAGTGCTGCCATTTGTTCAAAACATTTTTAGGATTCCTCTTTTGAATCTGTATCCCATTTTTGATCACCACAGTTGCACCAAATCTTTACATTTTAAGGGGTAGATTTGAGCCCAGGCATGAAATATTGGAGGTAGCAGGAGGCAGGAGACCTGGTGCTTGGTCCTGTTTTTCTGCAGACTTTGTGGCCTTTGGTGGGCCACCCAGCTTTTTTGGCCCTTCATTTTCTCATATGGGGCTCAATGAGATAATCTGAAGGTGGCTTCCAGTGCTGAAGGTCTGTGGTCATATAAGTGCTGGCATGTTTTTTTGTTTGTTTGTTTCTGAGACAGGGTCTTATCTTACTCTGTTTCCCAGGCTGGAGTACAGTGGTGCGACCATGGCTCAATGCAACCTTGAACTCCTGGGCTCAAGCAGTCCTCCCTCAGCCTCCTGAGGAGCTGGGACTACAGGTTCATGCTACCATGCCTGGCTGATTTATTTATTTATTTATTTATTTATTTATTTATTTATTTATTTATTTTATTTATTTTTTAAATGTTGCCCAGGCTGGTCTCAAACTCCTAGCCTTAAGCAATCGTCCTGCCTCAGCCTCCCAAAATACAGGGATTACAGGTGTGAGCCACCACACCCTGCCTGTATTTTAACTGCATCTCATTATGTTATAAATTTGAGAACTAAATGAGGATATGTTGCCTTGCATGTCTGTTAGTTTGTACTAAGGATCTGATTAGGAAGTGGCCACTGAGCTAAGAAGAAAATGGTGCAAAGAAGGAAAGAGGCCATTTCTGGATCCAATATTCATCTTTTACTAAATTTTCACTAGAGAGTTGTCCCCTGTCCCAAATGAGATTTGGGATGTGAAGGCCAGTAGCCTAACAGGTAACAATTCCTGGGGAAGACTCCTGAGAAGAGTCTCATGTTACAAACTCATGAGGGTCCCTCTTCTTTCTTGTAGGCATCCAGGCTGGAGAAGCAGAACAGCACACCTGAGAGTGACTACGACAACACTCCCAACGACATGGAGCCAGATGGCATGGGGTACATGCACAGGACGAGCGTGCCAGGGGAGGGGCTCCCCAGGGCCAGAGACCTGGCAGGCCTGGGCCAGCAGAAGCAGTTCACCACACACACCCCTTTTCTCTATTTTCAGACTCATAAAGTCTTAAAGTATTCAAGCATACGCTCGTAGTTTACATGTCTTGTCATCTCACATTGTTGCCGAAAGGCCTTTTTCTTTGTACCAGCATGTTATGTGTCTCTAGCTGTCTGTAGTGTGTTTAAAGTCATTACCCCACTTCATCATGAAGACAACATTAGGTTACATTCTGCATTTGTACCCAAGGAGTTGGCCCACCTGAGGATGGCTTTATAAACAAACACCCTCCCCGCTCCAGGTATTTCCCTCCCTTTTCCCCTCCTTCACCCTTCCTGTGAGAGTCAACACTTCCAGCCCTATGGTAGAGTGAAATAGCCGATTTTAGAGCCTTACCATGAGTCTCCTGCTAGACAGGATAAAGGAAATGACGAGACCAGCCTGCTCATGCATTTAGCCAGTGCATACAAAGTGGCTCCTAGAAGCAGAGGGGCAGCTGATAAGCACCTGCTGTATTTAACTGCATCTTTAATGTTCACAGGTCAAGCCGAAAGGGACGGCAAAGAAGTATGGTGTGGCCAGGGGATGGCTTGGTACCAGACACAGCAGAACCCCATGTGGCCCCAAGCCCCACTCTCCCTAGCACCGAAGATGTCATCAGGAAGACTGAACAGATCACCAAAAACATACAGGAGCTCTTAAGAGCAGCCCAAGAAAATAAACATGACAGGTAAGCAGGATTGAAGACCCTGCTTTGGGAGAGCATGAGTTATGCGCCCAGAAAGGGATGATGCCCATGTTCCTAATGGCAGCTATTCCCAGCATGCTGACTTCAAGGTCATTGAAAACAAGTCTACATAACAGGCTTAAGAACAATGTCAGTTTTGGTTTGCTTTGTCTTGTTTGATTTACATGGTATTTTCTTTTTTTTCATCTTGTTACGAAGCTCCGAAAATAAATGCCTCTAGAAACAGGATTGCGGCATAGTTAGGGTGGTGACAATGCTAGTTCTAGGAGGGGGACAGGGGCTACCTTACACCTCGCTTCTGGCCATGGCTATACCCTGGCCTGGCTAAGGACAAGGCCGCTGACACAAAAGGTATCCTGGGCTGGGCACAGTGGCTCACACCTGTAATCCCGGCACTTTGGGAGGCCGAAGCAGGTGGATCACCTGAGGTCAGGAGTTCGAGACCAGTCTGACCAATATGGTGAAACCCTGTGTCTATGAAAAACACAAAAATTAGCTGAGCATGGTGGCATGTGCCTGTAGTCCCAGCTATTCAGAAGGCTGAGGCAGGAGAATTTCTGGAACCCTGGAGGCGGAGGTTGCAGCGAGCCAAGATCATGCCACTGCACTCCAGCCTGGGCAACAATAGCGAAACTGTCTCAAAATAAATAAAGTTGATCTCATCATCACCCAAGTCCATCTCTGCACTTGAGAGGGGAGGCTGTTTACTCTGACTAGAAGCACGTCCTGTGGTTAATTCTTACCCTGAGGAAGGGACTGGCTCTTGCTCCAACTTAGCCTTTTGTTCTTTGAGAGTGAATTCTCTGAGAACTTCCGGTGAGTTGCGAACTGCTTGGGGTAACATCCTAGCTTCCCATGGTTGGCAGGATGTAGACACTCATAAAACATTAGCTAAACCAGCAGAGTTCAGTCAAACCCAAGAAAAATCTCATTCTTTTCATTAGGTCAGCAAAGTTTAGGACTTCAGTGAAGAACTTTCTTCACGCCTTGCACGAGCAAAAAGTATTCAAGGGATGCTGTGCTGTTTACTCTTCTCTCTGTTTTCTTCTTCCACACAAACATGCATCTGGGCCTTTGTATTCCCTTTTGTAGTCCTGGCACTACTGGGCCAACCTCCCTTTTCTGTACCCTTTTTTATATGGCTCACACATCTCCCAGTGTCCTTATTTCCCACTAGGAAAGAAGGGAATAATCCATGTTTATTGAAAGATAAGAGTTAGTCTTCTGGAGGGACTGCTGGAAGCTCCTCAGAGAAAAAGAGAAACATGCATAACTTTTAAGCCTCCTTCGATAAAAACTGTCTAATTATTTGGCTTCCTCCTCCCTCCTTTCCCAGGCATTCTCTTCATACCATGCCTTTGGGACCCCACGGGTTACAAGCACACTCACTTTGCTCAGGACCATAGTCTTGGCAGTGAGTGACTTCATATTTGATTACAGAAAGCAAAGTGTCCCATGGCTTTCCAAAGTACAGAGCTTTTTTTTTTTTTTTTGAGACAGAGTCTTGCTCTGTCACCCAGGCTGGAGAGCAGTGGCACGATCTTGCTCACTGCAACTTCCGCCTCCTTGGCTCAAGCGATCCTCCTGCCTCAGCTTCCCAAGTAGCTGGGATTACAGGTGCATGCCACCATGCCCAGCTAATTTTTTTGTATTTTTAGTAGAGACAGAGTTTCACCATGTTGGCCAGGCTGGTCTCGAACTCCTGATCTCAAGTGATCTACCCGCCTCAGCCTCTCAAAGTGCTGAGATTACAGGCGTGAGCCACCGTGCTTGGCCAAAGTTTTTGACAGCGTTTAATGTAATCATGATTCAATAACACTTTCTTCCCGAGCACCGTGACCCCATTTGTCAATGTGCTTCGCTTTTCATTTCCTCTAGTTCAGAAGTGCTGTGCTTGTATTTCAAACTAAAATGTGCTTGCCTTATATTGCTGTCTTTGTCAAAAATACAAATATCTGCCCTGAGGCCATTTCTACTTCAAAGATGCAATATGGTGCTTGGTACAATTTGGGAAATTTCTTTTTTTTTTCTTTCTTTGTTTAAAATTTACAAATCCATTCAACAACACATATAATGATCTGATTTCCTTTTTTTTTTTTTTAAGACCATGAGAGAATGATGCAGAGATTTTAATCATTAGCTCATTCTTTTGGTTTAAAACCATAATTGGTCTAGAGAATTTATATTTCATAAATTGTTCAATCCTATATTAAAATTCAAGATGCTTTTATTTATCATCTTGAATTGTACGAATTAAACCCATGCCTTTTTCTCTTGTTTTCTCCTCTTGATCCATGTAAGCAACCCCAGCCCCTGACCTTCCTGAAGTCTGGTCTTGTCTCCTGGGCCTCCAGCCTCACTCCTGCCCTCACACAGGCACACATACAATTCAGGGATTATGACATATTATGCACGAAAACCTTTTTGAGGAAAGATACCAATGTGAAGTTGTGAATATGGACTCCTGTTAGAGGAGGAGGGCTTCCTCATTAATCCGGGTGTGCTCGCTTTTCTATCGTGTGGAGGACTTCCCCAAATAGTTCATAATGAGTGAGCTTTTGAGAGATGGCCTTAGGAAAGATTCCTTCTCTGTGTAGCAGGAGGAAAGGGTGAATCGTATTTCTCAAAAATGAAACCATAAACAACAAAATATAAAACTCTTCACTGGCTGGGCGCGGTGGCTCACGCCTGTAATCCCAACACTTTGGGAGGCCAAGGCGGGTGGATCAGTCAGGAGTTCAAGACCAGCCTGACCAACATGGTGAAACCCCATCTCTACTAAAAATACAAAAATTAGCCGGGTGTGGTGGTGCAAACCTGTAATCCCAGCTACTCGAGAGGCTGAGGCAGGAGAATTGCTTGAAGCCGGGAGGCGGAGAAGCCAGGAGGCGGAGGTTGCAGTGAGCCGAGATTGCACCACTGCACTCCAGCCTGAGCGACAGAGCGAGACTCCATCTCAAAAAAAAAACTTCAGTGTGGTTCTCAGTCACTGTGATATTAACAGACACACAGTTTATTAGTATGCATGATACATGTGACGGCTGTGGACATTGCTTTTTTCTCTTTCTGAAATCTGTGTGACCAGATAGGTTGTTGCCCCTTCATATTTACAAGTTAAATAACTCCATATATGTTGGAATTTTTGTTATTAAATGGTTTGTGATTCTAATTGCTCACAAAGGTAGAAGTCAGGATTTCCAATGAAGGCATTTTTGGATACTATAAACCATTTTCTTGAAATGTAATGGTTTAATTTAAAATGTAGGCAGTCTTTTTTTTTTTTTAGACGGAATCTCGCTTTTATCCCCTAGGCTGGAGTGCAGTGGCACAATCTTGGCTCACTGCAACCTCTGCCTCCCGGGTTCAAGCGATTCTCCTGCTTCAGCCTCCTGAGTAGCTGGGATTACAGGCATGCGCCACAATGCCCAGCTAATTTTTTTGTATTTTTAGTAGAGACGGGATTTCACCATGTCGTTCAGGCTGGTCTCAAACTCCTGACCTCAGGTGATCCGCCCGCTTTGGCCTCCCAAAGTGCTGGGATTACAGGCGTGAGCCACTGCGCCCGGCCGACAGTTTTAATTATAATAGTTTTGAAACTAGACTTGTTACAAAGGTGAAGTGCATAAGTTGCTTATGACAATCTATTCAGAAGCCAACTTCATGGTTTAAAAAATGGGGAAAGGGCTGGACACCGTGGCTCACACCTGTAACCCCAGCACTTTGGAGGCTGAGGCAAGAGATTCACTTGAATCCAGGAGTTCAACACAAGGCTGGGCGACATAGTGGGACTCCTCTACAAAAAAATATTTAAAAATCAGCCAGGCATGGCGGTGCATGCCTGAAGTTCCAGCTACTTGAGAGACTCCAATTCTAATTTTAAGGAATTTTTTCAGTCCTTTATTTTTCACTTCTGTGGCCTTTTGCATGGAAATCCTTTCTCTTTCTAGAAATTGGGACGATGAAACACATGAGAAGTAAATGACTGACGTGAGGAGGGGTGAATTATGTTTCTGTACTGTTGTGTGGCCTCACCTGACCAAGAGTGTATGTTGCCATATTTCATACCTGGAGACTTTTCATCAGATTGAACTTTTAGGAAGCAATGAGAGTCCTGCTTTATAACCATGTGCCCTCTGGTGGTGTGGGATGCACGGCTGACTGCAGCCCTAGCCCCTTCATGAAGGGAATGTAAACAGAATCTGTTCTAGCACTTGAGTCCTCTTTGCCTCCGAATCATTTTTACTGTCATTGAATAACTTCTTCAATATTCTTGCAGTTATATTCCCTGCTCAGAGAGGATACACGTAGCTGTTACAGAAATGGCAGCATTATTCCCCAAAGTAAGTCACTTCCTACTCACTTGGTTTAAATCCTTTTAAATGAACAGCAAGAAATTTCTTTATGACCTATATATTACATTAGCTTTTTTGTAGCACATGCAGTTTTAAAATATGCAGTCGAGGCCGGGTGTGGTGGCTCACGCCTGTAACCCCAGCACTTTGGGAGGCCGAGACAGGCAGATCACCTGAGGTCGGGAGTTCGAGGCCAGCCTGACCAACATGGAGAGACCCTGTCTCTACTAAAAATACAAAATTAGTCAGGCGTGGTGGTGCATGCCTGTAATCCCAGCTACTCAGGAGGCTGAAGCAGGAGAATCGCTTGAACCCAGGAGGCGGAGGTTGCAGTGAGTCAAGATCGTGCCATTGCGCTCCAGCCTGGGCAACAAGAGTGAAACTCAAGTCTCAAAAAAAAGTAAAATAAAATAAAATATGCAGTCGTATAGAGCTTTGAAATATTTTTGTTCTGCATGAATGTTGATTTAATAAGACAAGGATATACAAGTCGTGCTAAAAGGCACATTTTAAAATTTATAGGATTTTCTGGAATATTTTACCCACATGGATTAATATTTTTCAAAAACTACTTCAAAATACCACATACTACTAAAATTACCCTGCATGCACTTTGACCTTTGAATCAGAATATTTCAGCATCTCTTACGCTGTGGGCTGCAAAGCTTGGAGTGTGTGAAGCACCCCTTTGAGAAAGGGCAGGACCAAACCGCCTTTCACTCTGGGGAGCAGCTTGGTTTGCTTTAGAAGAATGTTTGTCCCCTGCTTTTGGATGTCTGCCCTGCAGTTCAGGGTAAACGGCTGTCTTTTTCCTTTTAGAAACCCAAGTCTGATATGGTGAGGACTTCCCTTCGTTTACTGACGTCCAGTGCCTACCGACTGCAGTCAGAGTGCAAGAAGACCCTCCCAGGGGACCCCGGCTCACCCACAGACGTTCAGCTGGTCACGCAGCAGGTCATCCAGTGTGCGTACGACATCGCCAAGGCTGCCAAGCAGCTGGTTACCATCACCACCAAAGAGAACAACAACTGACAAGGGCAGGGCACCGCCTCCTCTGTTTTCTAGGCTTTATAAAGTCCAATTTCAAATTCAGACGCAGAACTCTTCAGATTTCTACAAAAAGAAACATTTAATGACGGTTTAAAACTTTTTAAAAGAAAACTCAGTATTATTTTTGCATGTTTTCTAACCAATTTTCAACTATTTAACCCACTTGCCTTATTTTGTGCCTATTTGCTGGTTTAGTTTCTGATGTTCGGTTGTGTTGTCAACAACTGTTGAGTTGATCACATACATCCAAAAGTATAGTTTCATTGTCTAAAGTTTGTGAAAACTTTTCCATCCCTTAAAACTCCCTGCCTATGGCTGAAACTATAAATGAAATTTTTCATAAAACATTTTCTTGAGAGAGTTCAGTTAAAAAAGAAAAAATCAGCGTCATTTGTTCCCTGCCAAGCATCGTGCAATAAGTGAATTTCCTGGCCTACTTCATAATCTCTAAGTTTGGGGTATCTCCAAGCATGTATGTAGAGAAAGGACTTTGCCGCTTTTTAAAACTAGTGTCACAGTCTCTCTTGGGAGGAAACAATGAATTGGTTCATTTCTTCTCAGTGTTTTACCCTGTTACATGTTCTGTTATTTAATGTTGTTATCTCAAGCTCCTATCTCTTGATGTTTTCTTGTCATCTTGAAGGCTCCATGGAATGAGATAAAGCATTGACCCACCACAGGACATCTCATGAAGCCATGTTCAGGGTAGGAGCTCCACGCACATCACCACCCATTGTCAGGTGCTCTCCCTCACCCCTGTAAGCCAGACAGTTTGTTCAAAACCTGCAGCAAAGAGAAGCATCAGTCTAACAAGCCAGAACTCATTTTGTGCCACCCATTTAGGTATCACTACCATGAACTATAGGGAAAAGAAATCACCTACTCCCTGACACTGTGTTGTACCCTTCATCCAAAAGTCAGCTTGCTTCTCTGACCACTTACAGCTTTCTCACATGAGTTGCTTCACATTTTTCATCATCTTTAAGGACTTCTTATAAGGAAAGATGTATCGTATCGCAGTCATCTGAGTTAGTTTCTCCTCCATCACCTCATGAGTACTTAAAAATTAGACATCAACTTTCAAGAGTTCCTTAGAGAGTGTGCTCTAGCTGGCTGCCTGCTACCCCAAAGCTCTGAAAGAGTAAGGTTGAAGTGCTGGAACATGCTCAGATTGTTTTTTAGTTACTCAAAAGCCCCTTCTTGTTCTGAATGTGAAAGCTCTTCCCGTTCCTGCTTACTGCAGCCATTCTGTGTGTGTGGTTCAGACCCTGGCCTAGGGCCGGTGATGTGGATGAGTGAAGGGAGCCAGGTACACGGCAGCAGGGCAGAGGAGACTATGGGGAGCCCACCGCCTACACAGTAGGGGCAGTAGCCCCCAGCTCCACGCCTGTTGCCATGTGGAAAAGTGGGCCTAGGGTGGCCACAGCTTTGATTTTTCAAGAGACAAGAAACCTAGATGTTTTTTGGTGCCATCTCTCCATTTATAAATGTTGGCAACCAATTTGAACACTTTCAGAGACCATGTGCAGGTGAGCTGTGTCCTCTAGGCTGCCAGCTCACAGCCCCCACCCCAGGGCCCTGTAAGCTGTGCAGTGTGAGGGCCTGGCTTCCCCGGACACACCTGGAGCAGCCTCTGAGTCTTACCCGTAATGGAGCCGGCCAACCCTGTGTGTTATGTTGCTGTCGCTCCTGTTTTTAACCATATGTTCTGTCCCATAGCAGTCATTCACACATGTGAAGAAGACACAAGAATCAAAGTACAAGTTGCCTCAATACATGCTAATAACTAAGCTTCTATTTTCACAGGACTGATCGATGCACACCTTTATAGCTTGACCATATGCTGTCATGAAAGTAGCACCCCGACGGTGCTTGCTTTACTAAGTCACCGTGTGTGGATGCTTTTGTCGCATTTTGCTTCACTGTGAGTAGCATGGGAAAAGGGTCCACGTCTCCAAAAGACTCTTCCACTTGTTTGTCCCACAGCCCTAAGTGCCACATTGCTGTTGGATGCTCCCGGGATGCCTTCTAGAAGGGGGCCTCCCACCTTAAGTTCAGGCGCCATCTGATAGCCTTTTCTGCAGGCTTCATGTCCTTAGCTGACCCTCCTTTATCTTGCAAACCCCTGCCCCTGCTGTCCCAGGGAGGACGGGCTTCTGTAGAGGCTTCTGGGAAATGAGCTGTCTGCAGGAGGTGAAGCAGTGTTTTCCTTGGAATGTTTGAGGACCTGCAATAGAAGATGTTGCCTTTATGGCCCTAGAGAAAGTCAAGGAACATGGGGACCAACAAAGCATTTCCAGTTGTAAGAATATGTCAGAAGAGTGCTCGGTTAGCCCACGGTGCCAAAACTCCAAACAAGTTCCCCGGTGGAATGACGTGGCCATTGGAGGGCTGCAGGTCGTCCTCTCTGTATGTGCCCCGCGCATTTCCTTGGCCTCATCTGAGATCTGGTGTCAGAGTTCTCTGCTCCTGTTGGCAAATCGCACCTTATCTGAACATTTGTTCCAGCCACCTTTTGCACATGGATTCCGTACCTTGCACTAGCAATGTCTACCTTCAGTAACGTCGTTCTTTTTCACCCTGTATTCTCAATGATCCCTTCCTCCCCATATGCCACCCTTCCCCCAAAGCTGATAGGGCAGAGGTGCACTTTATGAAACTGGCACTTGACTGAACAGAAGGAAACAGCTGTACCTCTAAGCTCCTTTCACAGAAATCGTCATCTGCCTTGGAATGCAAATAGTTCTTATTTGCCAAAGAACAGTGAATTGGGCCCAAAGATCAAACACAGCATTTCATGTAATCAGAATTCTAAACGCACAACTCGGGAGCTGTGCACGGCTTCTCAAGTGATTCAGTTGCAGAACCAAGAGCAAAACTCGCCTGTTTTTGTCCTCAATGGCACCCATGAGCTTTCCAATAGTATAGTTTTCTTTCTTTCCTTGTCCTGGTTGAAGGTAACGTGTTCCTAGAAAAGAAAATGCTGCATAGGAAAACTGAGATGCCTTTTATTCCAACGTGTTTGATCCCTGTCACTCATTATTCTGTACTTTTTATTGTACATTCTATTCCTGTAATTATTGTGCCCTTTAAGTGTTGTAAAATCGTTTTGGAATTTGTGCCTGCTAGTTATGCAATAAACAGGCTCTACAAGTGTTTTTGTGGTAATGCTGTGCTCCCCATCAATTAGTTGATGTTTCCAGATACTCTGTAAAAGGTCTGAGGAAGTTCTCCCAAAACGCCATCATTAGTGAGATGCAGTGTTTCATATGCTTTGGGGCTCTGCAGTTTTACAGTAATGACTATCTTTTTCTTCCTCTGTGCTTAGCAAATAGGTTTTGTTTTGTTTTGTTTTTTTGTTTTTTTTGAGATGGAGTTTCACTCTTGTTGCCCGGGCTGGAGTGCAATGACGCGATCTCGGCTCGACGTGATCTCGGCTCACCGCAACCTCCGCCTCCCGGGTTCAAGTGATTCTCCTACCTCAGCCTCAGAAGTAGCTGGGATTACAGGCATGCACCACCCCACCCGGTTAATTTTGTATTTTTAGTAGAGACAGGGTTTCACCATGTTGCTCAGGCTGGTCTTGAACTCCCAACCTGAGGTGATCTGCCCGCATCGGCCTCCCAAAGTGCTGGGATTACAGGTGTGAGCCACGGCACCCAGAGCAAATAGCTTTCTTTGAACGCTGCATCAAGATACTAGTTCCATGCATCTTATCATAATATATTTATTCCCTAAGTTTAATGTTTTTTTCTTTTGGAGAGAGGATCTCACTCTGTCACCCAGGCTGGAGTGCAGTGGTGTGATCTCAGCTCACTGCAACCTCCATCTCCTGGGTTCAAGCGATTCTCGTGCCTCAGCCTCCCAAGTAGCTGGGATTACAGGCATGCACCACCACCCCTGGCTAATTTTTTGTATTTTTAGATATGGGGTTTCACCATGTTACCCAGGCTGGTGCGAACTCCTGGCCTCAAGTGATCCACCCGCCTCGGCCTCCCAAACTGCTGGGATTACAGACGTGAGCCACTGTGCCTGGCCCCTACGTTTAATTTTTTTAATGCAGCGAAAGCCAGCCCAGCACAGATGCCCTCCCTTCTTCCTAACAGGTGATGGGGTCCTGGAATGAGCTCAGTGTCTTAAAACCACTGGTCTTATTTTATTTTCAGAGAAAGGCCACCTGTGCAGGTTCCTAGGGGGAGCTGGTATAGATTTGCATGGGGGTTCATCAGGGCTGCCCATGGTCACCAGTGATTGTCCTCTGGTTAGGTGACTTGGGACTCTACTCCCAAATGGAAGAAGGGTGGGGTAGGGCCTGAGCACCACGGGTACTTTTCCAAGTGAGAAGTCAGAAAGATGCCACGTCCTCGCTGTGATCCTGCTTGTTCAGGGGGACGTCTGTGCAGGCTTAGGACCAGTGTCTCACACAGCTCACACCCAGAGCAACCTCCTCAGGCAAGGAGGCTCAAAAGAGCCAGCAGCAGACCTCCTGGAACCCTGGCAGGCTCACCATGCCGGGCCCCCACAGTCTGGTTCAGCAGCTCTGGGGTGGGGCCCAGGAGTAGGCACTTCTAACAGGTTCCAGGGACCACACTCTGCGAAGCTCTGCTGTAGACCGTTTCCAGGCCTTTCCCACCACACAGCTCCTTGGCTTCTGCTTTTAAACATGTTTTAGTGTAGGAGAGTCATGTGAAGTCATCATTATAATTTTAGCTGACATTTCCTCTGTGCCAGGCACTGTGCTGAGTTCTTTTTTTTTTTCTTTTTTGAGACAGGCTGGACCGTAGCAGCGTGATCTCAGCTCACCACAACCTCTACCTCCCGGGTTCAAGCAATTCTCCTGCCTCAGTCTCCCGAGTAGCTGGAACTACAGGTGCGTGCCACCATGCCCAGCTAATTTTTTTGTATTTTTTTTAGTAGAGACGGGGTTTCACTATGTTGGCCAGGCTGGTCTCCAACTCCTGACTTCATGATCTGTCTGCCTCGGCCTCCCAAAGTGCTAGGATTACAGGCGTGAGCCACCACGCCTGGCCTGTGCTGAGTTCTTGACACATGTTCATTCATTTCATCCTCACTACAGCCAGATGAAGTGAGTGGTTTCTTCCCATTTTTCAGATAAGGATGTTTACAGCCCAGGAGGCCGAGCCTCACATCCAAGGAGAGAGTGTGTCAGTTGCTGTCATGCTCCTTACTCCTCTTCACCACCAGGGTGCGCTTCCCAGCCTCCGGCGGAGTCACAATGTTACAGGATCTCTGGGGTGTCGATTTTTCTGGCTGGAAATATCTGGCCAGTGCCTTTGCCTGAGTTCTTGTTGTCCTGCATCCTGGAAGAATGAGGTACGCAGACAAGTGGAGGGTGAAGACTTTTTTTTTCTTTTTTTTTTTTTTTTTTTAGACAGAGTCTTGCTCTGTTGCCCAGGCTGGAGTGCAGCGGTGCAATCTCGGCTCACTGCAACCTCCACCTCCTGGGTTCAAGCGATTCTCCTGCCTCAGCCTCCTGAGTAGCTGGGATTACAGGCACGTGCCACCATGCCCAGCTAATTTTTGTGTTTTTAGTAGAGACGGGGTTTCACCATGTTGGTCAGGCTGGTCTCGATCTCCTGACCTCGTGATCTACCCACCTCAGCCTCCCAAAGTGCTGGGATTACAGGCGTGAGCCACCATGCCTGGCCAAAGATTTTTATTTAGTGTTAGAACAGCTCCTCTCTGTAGGCAGGTCGTCCCGTCAAGTGTTCAGCTGTCAGCAGAGAGGAGGCCCTGGAGAGGGTGGCTCCTCTCCACAGGCAAGTCATTCGGACGTCTCTGCAGGTCTCTGAAGCTCTCAGTAGAGAGGGTAGCTCCTCTCTGCCAGCAGGTTGTCTCTGCAGCTCTCAGGGGAAAGGGTACTACTCCTCTCTGCAGTAGTAGAGGAGTCGTCCCATCATCTGCAGCTGTCATCAGAGAGAGCACTCCTCTCTGCAGCTGGTTGTCCCGTCATCATCTCTCCGCCCTCTCCATCCTCTGGTCTGCTCTGGCTGAGCCCAGGGCTTTTATGGACCACAGGGGGAGGAAGTGCCTGCCGACTGGTCCATGGGTGGCCATGGGCAGGCCCGTAAGAGGTACCACAAGTCCCCACTCAGGTCTGCAGGACTGGCAGCCTGGCCCCCAGCCTTCAGGCCCCCCCTGGCCTGTAGGTGAGGCCTTACTGGGGACCCTGCCCACTCCCACCCAGGACTGTCTGCCTCCTGCTGCCATTCATGGCCCCAGGGCTTGGCCCCAACCCTGCTCTGAGATGGGAGAGGGTGCTGGGAGCTGAGAGAGGCCAGGCAGTGGGAACAGACACCCCTGAGCCTGCAGAGACTGGGGGGTCCTTTCTGGGGCACCCGAGGATGCAGGCTGCAGAGACACCCAGGTCCTGCACCTGGGAGGGCAGCCACAGCTGCACCCGGGAGCTCCCGCCCCACCAACTGAGAAGAGGAAGGGTTCCCGATTGTCCCCAGCTCCTGCCTGCTTCATGGAGCGGGAGGCTCAGGTCTGCAGTCATAGGTCCAGTGGCTGCAGCTGTACCCAGGAGGGCAGATCCTGCCTCTTCCTGGATCCCCCAAGAACCCAAGAGCACAAGGAGGCTCAAATCCACAACTGCAGTTTGGGCGGCAGTAGCCCCACCCTCCTGGAGCGGGAGGCCTGGGTCTGCAGCTGCAGTTTTGGTGGCTGCAGAGGCACTGAGAGCTCCCATCCCAACCCAGAAGGGGTAAGGCTCCTAGTGGCTCCATGGAGTGTGCAGCCCCAGCTGTGCTTCCCTGCTGCAGCTGGCATAATGGCAGCAGCCACTACCATCAACAATGGAGTCGGGGCCGGGCGCGGTGGCTCATGCCTGTAATCCTAGCACTTTGGGAGGCCCAGGCGGGTGGATTACCTGAGGTCAGAAGTTTGAGACCGGCCTGGCCAACATGGTGAAACCCTGTCTCTACTAAAAATACAAAAATTAGCCAGGTGTGGTGGCAGGCTCCTGTAATCCCAGCTACTCGCAAGGCTTAGGCAGGAGAATCGCTTGAACCTGGGAGGCAGAGGTTTCAGTGAGCTGAGATCGCGCCACCGCACTCCAGCCTGGGCGACAGAGGGAGACTTTGGTTCAAAAAAAAAAACTAATGGAGTCAGGGAAGGTGGGCTCCACGTGGAGCTGGCACTGCTGGGCTGGCTGCACTGCAGCGCCTCAAAGGCTCCTCCCCATGAGTCTAGATATGGGGGGGCAGGTGGGCAACAGGCTATGTAAACAGATAACTTTCACAGCCGTGACAGTTGCTGCCCTCACAGCCTAGAGGCCCTCGAGCAGGGGGCTGAGTCCCTGGCGCCTGGACCTCTCTAGCGTTTGTGGAATGGCTGACTGGAAGGACTGTCTGAGCGCCTGTCCCCTTGCTCACAACACTGTGACCGCAGCAGTCTCTATCCCCTGAAGCTGATAGGGCAGAAGTGCACTCGGCGACCATCTGAGGAGCTGCTCGCTGTCCAGCAGGCCGGGCGCGTGAGGTTGCCCAGAAACAGGTCCCTGTGGTCTATGGACTCTGGGGGTCCCAGCGTCTGCTAGCCAGCCATGGAACCAGGAGCCAGAACTCCAGTCCAGGCCCGGTGGTTCCAGCTGTGTTCAAAGTATGTGTGTCAACTTCCCACCGAGTCCTGGAGGGAGGGGTGCTGGAGATGAGAAGAGGCTGGCCTGGACCCTCGCCTCATCCTCCCACCTGCCCCACCGTCCGTCCTGCCCCACACCCAGGCCCCTGCTGGGCTCACAGCTCCCCAGCTGCTATATCTCCAGTTCCTCAAACCACTCAAACCTGCTCAGAACTTCTCAGCCTCATTTGTCTCCCAAAGGAGGCTTCTCACCAAAGACCATGTCTCCTTCTCTAAAGTCTCTCTTCTCACCCAACCCCCACCTTCCCTTCTTGGGGCTCATCTTCCCCCTCCTTTGCATCATCCCACAGGCCCCCTTGGGCCTGGCTCTCCACTGCCCTTCCCTTCAGAATCCCATTCACCTAGCCCTGGCCTCTTGGCCTGGCTTAGTCCTGTAAGCCCCATTGCTCCCAGAACACTTTACATACACGATTGCTTTTTTTTCTTTTTTTTAAAGGTAGGGAGGGATTCCACTTTATTATTTTCCAAGATGACTGTCCACTTGCTCCAACACTGTTAGCAATTCATCTTTTTCTTTCTTTTCTTTCTTTCTTTCTTTCTTTTTTTTTTTTTGAGGTGGAGTTTTGCTCTCATTGCCCAGGCTGCAGTGCAATGGTGCGATCTTGGCTTGCAACCTCCGCCTCCCAGGTTCAAGCGATTATTCTGACTCTGCCTCCTGAGTAGCTGGTATTACAGGCATGCACCACCATGCTCAGCTAATTTTGTATTTTTAGTAGAGATGGGATTTCACTATGTTGGCCAGGCTGGTCTCAAACTCCCGACCTCAGGTGATCCACCCACCTTGGCCTCCCAAAGTGCTGGGATTACAGGCGTGAGCCACTGCGCTCGGCTGTCATCTTTTTCATACTACTTTTTTTTAATCACTCTGTCGCCTAGGCTAGAGTGCAGTGGCGCGATCTCAGCTCACTGCAACCTCTGCCTTCCAGGCTCAAGCAATTCTCCTGCCTCAGCCTCCTGAGTGGCTGGGATTACAGGCATGTGCCACCACACCAGGCTAATTTTTGTATTTTTCATAGAGATGGGTTTCGCCATGTTGGCCCGGCTGGTCTCGAATATCTGGCCTCAGGTGATCCTCCCACCTTGGCTTCCCAAAGTGTTGGGATTACAGGCGTGAGCCACCGTGCCTGGCCCTTCATGGGGGCGTTTTGAAGTCTAATTTGGTTTTGCAATTTGCATCCCCGGGCCTGAGTGGTACCTTGGCCCTCCCCTCCGAGCCAGGAGATGCAAATTGTCCTCCCCTCGGGGCCCAGGGATGCAAACTGCTCTCTGCTTCCCTCTTCCCGCCGCCCCTTCCCAGGACCCCACTTCAGGTTCTTCCCCAGCCCGGCCTGTTGCTTTCAGACCAGAGGGGCTGAGCTGACACCTGCACTCCGAGCAGCCACTGGGCTAAGTGCTCTGGGCATTTCCCAGTCAGTTATGAAAGCAGGCTCCCCAAGTAGGAATTAAAACTACCCCCATTTTGCAGATAAAGAAACCAAGGCTCGGCCCTTGGAGCCCAGTTCATGTTGGAGCAAGTGAGAGCACTGAGCCTGTGCTCTTAACCGCAGGGCTCGACTGGCACAGGTGGACATCCAGGCCAAGGACGACAGGCCTTCTGGAACCAGGAGAGGGTGAGGAATGGCTGTGACCCTGGCAGGGGTGTGGTGGGAGGGAGGTGTGGAGCAGAGACTTGGGGGCTCCCATCTCCTCCCAGTCCTCTTTCCTGGGAGGGTCGGAGCAGGGAGGCCCCTGGGGAGGCTGCTTACTGTGTGGTCCTCTCCTCGCCTTGGGAGGAGGCTCACAGGAATAGAGCCTGGGTGGCCGGGTTTGTATTTTGTCTTTCAATTCCTTACTGCTGCCACAAATATTTCTTGTCTTTTCTGTTTGTTTCAAATTGAGATCTTCAGTAACCACTGCTCAGGTAAGACTCTGAACTCTGTGTGGAGGACGCTGCCCAGTTCCACTGCTGGAATGATTCAAGGAGCCTCATTCACAAGCACAATGACTTCCCCCACAGCGGCCCTTCTGAAAGGAGCGGCCCTGTGCCTGCTGCTGGAAGCAGAAGCCTCCCTTCAGGGCATGGCACAGGCCGGTCCACCCCATCCCCAGAGTTGAGGGAGAGTCTCCCAGTCCAGGGAGTGCTGGGGAATGAGGTGCACAGCCAGGAGTTGACCTGCTTCCGCTGGAAGCAATGGAAATCCTGCCCAAGTCCAGTCCAAAGGCAGAGCCATGGCCAGTTCCACCCCAGGCAGGTGGACTCCTTGGGGCAGCATCCTATTGGCAGAAACAGTAGGGCCTTCTGAGCTCCATGCTTTTTTTTTGAGACGGAGTTTTGCTCTTGTTGCCCAGGGTGGAGTGCAATGGCTTGATCTCGGCTCACTGCAACCTCCAACTCCCGGGTTCAAGCAATTCTCCTGCCTCAGCCTCCCAAGTAGCTGGAATTACAGGCATGCACCACCATGCCCAGCTATTTTTTGGTATTTTTAGTAGAGATGGGGTTTCTCCATGTTGGCCAGGCTGGTCTCGAACTCCTGACCTCAGGTGATCCGCCCACCTCAGCCTCCCAAGTGCTGGGATTACAGGCGTGAGCCACCGTGCCCGGCCTCTAATTTTTGTATTTTTAGTAGAGATGGGGCTTTGCCATATTGGTCAGGCTAGTCTCAAACTCCTGACCTCAGGTGATCCACCTGCCTCGGCCTCCAAAAGTGCTGGGATTACAGGTATGAGCCACCATGCCTGGCCTGAGCTCCATGCTTCCTTACTCTATCTTTTCACACCTTCACATCTCCCTTCTCCACATTTCACAGAACTGGGCCAGGAGGGTCACCCAGCCACTAAGTGGTGGGCATCAGGACTAGAACCCGGGCCAGTGTGGGCCACAGGCTGTTCTTCCCCTCACACTTGATTCAAGTGTTCTCTCAGTCTCTCTCTTATTGTGACCTATAAACAAAGAAATATGTCTGATGCATCTATGTGCAATTATAAAGTGGCTACCTGTGTAACTACCACCAGGTTAAGAAACAGAACAGTGCCTTTCTTTCAACCCTGGCTGCAACCCTGGCAGTGGTGCGGCGGGAGGGAGGTGTGGAGCAGAGACTTGGGGCTCCCATCTCCTCCCGGTCCTCCTTCCTGGGAGTGTCAGAGGAGGGAGGCCCCTGGGAAGGCTGCTTCCTGTGTGGTCCTCTCCTTGCCTTGGGAGGAGGCTTAGAGGAATAGAGCCTGGGTGGCACAGGGTCCCTCTTTCCCTTAGACTTTGGTGCCTATCACTTCCTTGCGTTTAGCTGAACCAAACCTTTGTGTGCATCCCTAGGTCACAGCTTAGGGTTTTGACTGGTTTTGAACGTGCAAACAGAACCCTATTGATGAATTCTTTCCCTTAATGTTGCAAGATTCAACTAGGTCAATGTGTGTAGCTAGTTCATTTTCTTTTCTCTTTTTTGAGACAGAGTTTCGCTCTTGTTGCCTAGGTTGGAGTGCAATGGTGCAACCTCAGCTCACCACAACCTCGCCTCCCGAGTTCAAGTGATTCTCCTGCCTCAGCCTCCCAAGTAGCTGCGATTACAGGCGTGAGCCACCGTGCCCAGCCTAGTTCATTTTCAATGTCAATGTTGTATTCGTTGAATGAATATACCAGATTTTTTATTTTAGTGAAAGGGTTTCCCTTTGTCACCTAGGCTACGTTGCAAGTGGCACAATCATAGCTCACTGCAGCCTCAACCTCCAGGGCTCAAGTGATCCTCCTGCCTCAGCCTCCCAAGTAGCTGGGACAACAGGTGCGAACCACCATGCCTATTTTTTTTTTTTTTTTTTTTAGACAGGGTCCCACTGTGTTGCCAGGCTGATCTCAAACTCCTGGGCTCAAGCAATCTTCCTGCCTCGGCCTCCAAAGTGCTGGCCTTAACTTTTTAATGTGGCAGAACATTTCTCCATAACTTTGTTTTCCACTCCACTTTAATTCACTGCATAACATCCCAAGCTCAAACAGCCTCTTGGTGTTAGATGCCTAGGTTATTGGTTTCTGTTACCATACTAATGCTGTGAGCAACATCTTTGTACCAATCTGGTATTTCTATCTTCTGGGCCAGAAGGCAGAGCAGTACATTTCAGGAAAGCTCTGCAGGGCCGGTCAGGACAGGGCCTTGTAGGCCAGGAAAGGATTTGGCTCTTGGTACTAAGTGCAGTGAGCAGCCACTGAAGAAGGTGGACGAGTCTCATTTCAGGTGTTTATTTGTAAATGATCTCTGACTCTACGATGAAGAAAAAAATGGGCTGGCTTGGTGACATGAAGGGTGGACATTAAAGAGCAAAGTGGATGGCCAAAGGTTCAGGAGGCCACCAGGAGCCGGTGCCCTCGGTCTAAGGCATAATCAACTGGCAGGATAGATGGCATCACCAGGCGCTTATCTGAGAACACTGCAGAAGGGCCAGATGCGTCTGGGGTTTTTTTTCTGATGGGGGTTTGGGGGAGATCACTCATTCGTCTTGGCTATGCTGAGCTTGAGGCACCTCTGAGACACCGTGGAGATGTCAGAGAGGTAGGGACATCAGAGTCTGGACTAGAGCTGCAGAGCCAGGAGTTACTGATGTGAGGATGGCAGCAGAAGGCAGAGGCCTGGCTCACATCACCTAGGAGGGCCTGGGTGGTGAGGCCTGGGCCCAGAAAACTAGCACTGCTCCATTATGACCGGCAGAGGCCACAGTAACTGCAAAGTATCCACAGAACCCCATGTGTATCAGCAACCCCGATGGATAGAGAAGAGCTGTACATGTGAACTGGAAGCCAGTGTCGGTGGCCCAGCTGCTTAGGTCCAGATGCTTGGTTTGTCTCAGGAGCCAGGAGTCAGCGGCACGGACCACAGTGCCGCACAGCTTGAGCACCCTCACGTGGGGGATCCCCGCCCGCCAGCCTCCTACTGTAAGCATTTCCATATGGAAATGGAAGAGGGAGTGTTGTGGGGAAATGAAGAAAGGGAGCTGCAGTGTCTAGAGCAGTTAATTGGGAGAAAATGAGAAGAAAAGCGCTAGGGCAGCGTCAAGGCAGTACCCTGACATAAATCCAGGCTTTTCCATCATGATCCTGATGGCTGTAATATGGAAAGTGGCCCCTTTCTAGTCATTTTGCTGGAGATCAACTAGAATACCTGAACTAGAAGTTATGTGCACGGAGGATTCCAGCAACTCCATTTTAATAGAAAAAACTGGAAACTAAACAAGTGACAATGAACAAACGAACGATAGTGAATTTATACAATCAGTTTCTTACAGCAGTAAAAAACTCCAGCTACCTGCAGAAAAAACCACGCATGTATCCTTTGAGGTAGATACTGTGTTTTGAGTGATACTAAGGCATAAACATCCCTCTAAAAGGAAGACATTACAATGTAAAATCAGTTTCCTAAAATCCAACTCCACAGAGCTTCATGGCTGAATTTAGTCGAGGTCATCAAGAACTGCTAAGGCCAGTGTTTTTAAAGGCTTTACAATATCTTTTAAATGATTGCTCTATATTTTATGAACACCAAAAACTACCTAAAAACCCAGATGAAAAAGTCGTATCCATAAATATGGATGTATAGACTGTACATATTGCACAAACATCTCTTCAGCCCCATGAGTGACAACTGGCTGTTTGCCAGTGACGTCTGCTCATCCATGTGTCCGATTCGAGCGTCTGACTCTTGTCACTGTTCATGGTCAGCTGTGACTTCCCAGGCCTAGTACCTTCCCTAGAGAGAACGTGTGCTAAGCGAGGAGCAGAAAGCGAGGTTTTTTTTTTTGAGACGGAGTCTTGCTCTGTCATCCAGGCTGGAATGCAGTGGCATGATCTCAGCTCACTGCAACCCCCACCTCCCGGTTCAAGTTATTCCCCTGCCTCAGCCTCCCAAGTAGCTGGGACTACAGGCAAGCGCCACCATGCCCAGCTAACCTTTTGTATTTTAGTAGAGACGGGATTTCACTATGTTGGCCAGGATGGTCTCGATCTCCTGACCTCGTGATCTGCCTGCCTCGGCCTCCCAAAGTGTTGGGATTACAGGCGTGAGCCACTGCGCCCAGCCAAGTCATCACTTCTATACCAGTGCAAGAAGCATTTCCTAGCAGTGGTTTCAGCACCATCTGTACCAAAGGAATGGACCTTTGTAGAAGAAACTGCCAAAGAATAATCTAGAAACCACTCATTTCGAGTCAGTAGAAAAAGGTGCTTAGCAACAATAAAACCCATATATGTATCTGTAACTACAACACAATAAAAATACAAAATGCAAATACCCTGGGCCCAGAGGTGTATGGGCCACAGTAGAAATAGTAAGACAGTGGAAACTTTAAGTTTAGAAAACAAATTATTTTGGACCAGTGTAGAGCAGAAACATTTAATTAGGGCAGTGAACCAGTGTAACATAATTTTAATGCTAATGATTACCACCAGGCTTCAAAAACAAAAAATTAGGCTGGGTGTGGTGGCTCACACCTGTAATCCCAGCACTTTGGGAGACAGAGGAGGAAGGTGGATCACTTGAGATCAGGAGTTCGAGATCAGCCTGGCCAACATGGAGAAACCCTGTCTCCACTAAAAATACAAAACTGGCCAGGCGTGGTGGCTCACGCCTGTAATCCCAACTACTCGGGAGGCAGAGGCAGGAGAACCACTTGAACCCGGGAGGCGGAGATTGCGGTGAGACGAGATCACACTATTGCACGCCAGCCTGGGCAACAAGAGTGAGACTCTGTATCAAAAAAAAAAAAAAAAAAAAAATTCAGGCCAGGAACAGTGGCTCATGCCTGTAATCCTAGCACTTTCAGAGGCTGAGATAGGCGGATCACTTGAGCCCAGGAGTTCGAGACCAGCTTGGGCAACATGGCAAGAGCCCTATCTCTACTAAATTAGCCAGGCCTGGTGGCACACACCTGTAGTTCCAGCTACTGGGGCGGCTGAAGTGGGAGGATCACTTGAACTTGGGAGGTGGAGGTTGCAGTGAGCTGAGATTGCACTGCTACACCCCAGCCTGGGTGACAGAACAAAGCCGTGTTTCAAAAAAAAAAAGGTTTAAACTCAGTTCACTGTGGTTCCAATTGAAAGAAGGGAGAAACCACTTTCCTAAGAAAAATGAATATAACCTATAAAACGTGATCAGTCATAGAAAATAGCCAAGCCTGTATGTGGGAGATGTGGATTAAATCAGTAAAAAGCCTGTCACCAACAATGCACTTAACGGCAGTCAATCAGAAAATCCGTAACAAAGCCAGGAAGCCATGCTGTCGAAGCAGGATTTTATTTCACCATTACTGGACATCTGAAATGGGGAACGCAACAGAGAGCATGCGTGATGAACGTGCTGCTCAGGGGATCAGAGTCAAAGAGTTGCAAGAAAATGAACAACAGATGAAGGACGTGGTTTGCAGCTTGATCTGTTTCTACAGGACAGTGGAAGTGAAAGGTAAGACAGCCCTTAAGACTCAGGATTTTTAATAAACTCTGATTTTTAATAACCATGGAACAATGCCCTGTAATTAGCTGTAATTTACGGAGATATGGAATCTTGAACATAATGTGATGAAAACTAAACCTCAGAGGAAGGGTATAGTAAAAATACAAGTCATAAAATAATATTATTGCTGCAAGGAACTTGTTCCTGTTTGTAGAAATGAATGTAGACCTGTATCACGCTGATATAATGGTGGGAGAGATTTCTGGCCGGTCTGTGGTTCTGAGACTCATCTAGTTTCTTCAGGCTCAGTGCTTCTCCCTCTGGGCACATATATCCCAGAAGGCTACATGTAGTAGCCAAGACATTCCCAATGTGTCCTACGTGTCACGCCCCTGCCTTTAAAAGGTTAGCCAACCAGGTGACCTTCTAAGGTACCTTTTTGGTTTTAGAGATGGGGTCTCACTCTTTTGCCCAGGTTGGACTCGAACTCCTGGGCTCAAGCAATCCTCTTGCCGCAGCCTCCCGGGTAGCTGGGACTAAAGGCACGTGCCACCACACCCAGTTTGAAGTTCGTTTTGGGGCTTAGTAACATACATGTTGGGATCAGTCACTCACAGACAATGCTCTATGGAAATTCTACCAAAATGCTTCCTGGAGGAGGAAAGACTCATCTCTTGCCACTTTTCTGGAATGCGTCCATGGACGTCAGAGTGTTCCGGGGTTCTAATTTGTTCACAGTTCTTTTCTTCCAGAATATAAAAGATGTAATACTTTTGGGACCACTAAATTAATAAACTCTGAAATCAACTGCACCAAGACCTCTAGGTTTGTTTTTAATAGACTAAATTTAAATGGCAATTTTAAAAACTGAAAAGCTTTCCTCATATTTCTAGAGTCAACACTGGAGGTTGACAATTAAAGGTGAGACAACAGGAAACCACACGCCCCATCACAGGTACAACCTGTGGCTCTTAGTATTGACCTTCAGTTGATGTGACTGTTAATATATTACAAGACTATGCAGCAGCGCTGTAAACACGTGCCCATCAAAGACCCTTGCTTGGGTAAGAAAGGCATGAAAGGGACTCTCACGACACCTTAATGTCTGGCCAAACACTGGGATGTTTCAATGATGAACCTGAGCAGGCACTGCTGAGCCATCTGACAGTGCCCCGGGCACTTACTGTTAACAGAGCCCTGTAAAACTGCCTGGCGGCTGGGATCAGAAGCCTCAGCATCCCTTGTTCTCTGTACTTATGGTACCCATGAAGTCAGTTCCAAGCAATTTTTGGATGTCCGTAAGGCTGAGAAAAGAAAGAAAACATAAGAGTGATCAGATCAGCAGTATCTGCAGCATGAGGAATTAACCTTGTTTTAACTACAAGCTAAAAGAACAATATAAATGGCTGTTTCATTTCCAGCTGAAAAAATCTGACCCTAAGCCATAAATGAGGCACTTGATATCTTTTTGGTTTTGAGTACTAGCCCTAAGAAACACTTTCACATATGATCTGTGAAACCCTGACCCTGACACTCTCACTGATCCACGGCCAAGTGGGTTTAGGAAATGCTGTTCCCTGTGACTGTGACAGTCAGTGTTTGAGGGCGAGTGGCCTATGGCAAACGCAGCACCTGCTCTAATTATGTTTCACTCAGTTTCCCAGTGTCATCTGACCACAAGGGAGCCAGCCCTCATTCTGCAGCATGTGTCCTGGGGAATGCACTCTAGGCACCGGGTGGCCAGGGTGGCCCTAGGTAAAGGAGGGCAGAGGGGACAAGCCAGCAGTGGAGGTGCTTCAGTCATCAGCTTCCTCAGGGCAGGGAAGGCAGCATTTGCTTCTCTGTGCTCCCCATGGTGCTGTGCAGACAGGTCCGGGAACAAAGACACTGAGAGGCAGAGAAACAGATACACACACGGGAGGGAGGGGAGGAAGAGGACACCCACAGGAGGGAGGGAGGGGAGGTGAGGAGGAGGACTGGTCTCTTGTTCATCGGGCTTCACTGTCTCAACAGTTGAGGCCTAGATCTACTGCTCTGACCCCTCTCAGCAGCTGTGGCCACAGCTCTTCTTAGATTGACCAAAGAGGGTGGACAGGCATGCAGCTTAGTAGGCAAGGCCAGAGCAAAATCACTTCAAGGTTTGAGGCCCAACCAAGGACTGGAACAGCCCCTGTGTCAGGGCTCCCTGCTGGTCAGGGAAGAGAGAAATACAAGAGAAGAGAAACAAGGAATAACCCGGACGGCCGGAGAGCAGACCCCGGCGCGGGGCGATGAGCAGGCCCAGGGGAGCAGGGGCCGGGCAGAGTCTGTCTTGCCGGTGTTGGCCTATATCCTGGCAGACTTCCTACCTTAGGCCGGTAGCCCTGCTCAGCCATAGTCTCCGCCTCCTGCTGCAGCAGGGCATCTGAGAGCTGCTCGACCCGCCGGGCCTCCTCCTCTTCCTCCTCCTCCTGCTGGTCTGCTTCCCATGCCTGCAGCCGGCGCTCTGCAACCTGAGTGCCAAGAGCAAAGTCACCACCCCAAGACAAGGCCCACAGGGCAGAGCCCTGCCTCTGATGAGGAAGGTAAGCCTGCGGCCCTACCCAGACTGGAGAATCCAGCTGAGCAACAGCAATGCACGTGCCAAGGAACGGAAGGGAGCATGCGGGACTTGAAAGGCTGTATGCATGGTGTGTACCTCATAGAAAGCTGGAGAGGCTGTATGCGTGGCGCTTACCTCGTGGAAAGCTGGAGAGGCTGTATGCGTGGCGTGTACCTCGTGGAAAGCTGGAGAGGCTGTATGCATTGTGTGTACCTGGTAGAAAGCTGGAGAGGCTGTATGCATGGCATGTACCTCGTAGAAAGCTGGAGAGGCTGTATGCGTGGCGTGTACCTCATGGAAAGCTGGAGAGGCTATACATATGCGTGGCGTGTACCTCGTGAAAAGCTCGGCCTGTGGCCAGGTGTTTGGAGGACTGTTCTGTCTTATGTATCAGGGACTGAAATGAAGAGAGATCTATGGCCCCCGGTAAGCCAACTGCTTGCAGAAGCAGACAGAGTAAAGAGAACAGACAGCAGTACCGGCCTCACCCACACGACATGGAGGATGTGGAGGGAAAGAAGCCACAGTCAAGAGGATGAGGACTGCAGCTGGGATGGAAACGGGAGCACCGTGCTCTCAAACGTGCGCAAGCCCTGCCAGGCAGTCCAGCGGCTCTGAACCCTGTCCCATGATGATGCAGAGAACCTGGCAGGCCCGGTGCCTCCCGCCCTTGGGCTCAGCCCTACCTGGGCTTCCAGCTCCTGCTTCCTGGCCGATTTCAGCTTTTCACTCTCCTCTTTCTCGCGACGAGCCAACTCTCTCACCTCCTCAAGATTTCGAATAAGTTGCTCCCTGTGTTTCAGGGATTCCTCTTGTGCCCGTCGGTTCTGCTCAATCTTCTCTTGTATTTGCTGTTGTCTCCCTGTCAGAACCTAACCTCAGCAGAAAGAAAAGGGCAGCTTTGAGGTTGACCCTAACAGATCCTGGTTCTACAAGCCTTGGACAGGCTGCAGCCACAGCAAGGCCCAGCCTCATCCTTGGGCCTCAGGCCCAGGTACGCAGAGGCAGAGCCAGATGACAGGATTTGCTCTCACGATGTCGGCCACGCTTGCCAGTATACAAGAAATGTTTCCCTCGCAACCCAAGACACACAAAATGTATCCAGACTGTGTACTATGGAGAGACAGCTGAGTGCCAAAGAAATCAAAGGAGATGGGGATGGAGCTGTCTCCCCGGGGCCAGAGAAACCTTGGAGCAACAAGGTGAGTCTCCTTCCTATCAGCGGGTTCCAAAAACAAGAGAGCCACAAGCCACACAGATGACCAGAGGTGGAGCTGGGGTGGTCCTCTAACCTTTTGAACCTGCTGTGTTTGAGACCTGGCCCCAGAGCCGTGTGACATCTGAACTCCAGCCCAGGCCACAGTCAGGAGCAGAAAACCACCTGACACTCTCAACAGTTAGGCTGCAGGGCTGGGGGGAACAGAAAGTGGCCGCCATCAGGAGGGAAATTTAAATGAGGAAAATCAAAAGGCACTGGAGAATTCTTGGTATTTACAAGAGCAAAACATCACCAATCACGACCCAATTTCCTGTGGATTCCAAAATACAGCATACTACCAGACACAACGTAGAGTTTCTCATTTGAAACCACTTTACAACAGCTTTCAGCCCATGGGTAACACTCTCTCTTCTCCTCCCAGATTTCTCTGCGGTTGGGGTATATCTTCCACGCACAGTGTACACACTGACCAGGAAAGCAGTTATGTCCTCCAGGTCACGGCTGTCATCTACCCCGAGGGGGGAAACGTGTGGGAAGAGCCTCAGGCACCAAGAGGCTCTCTGCAGCGTTTCTCAGAATGGCTTCCAATTAGAACAACACAGCACACCCATAAGAGGGAATGGAAAGGCAGCGGGTGACAGAGGACAGTCCGTGATACAGCCCCTGACATGCCGTTTATAAAGATGTAACAGCATGTCACAACGCTTGAAGCCAAATAGCACAAGACAGTAAGAAATACATGTAGAAAAAATGTCAGGCATAGAAACAGAAGAGCAGACAGAAGCAGCAGCTACGGCTGCATACAGGATGGGCTCTGGGGGACTTTTTTCCATTTCTACTTCCTGTACTTCTGAATTCTTTTCTACTAAGCTCATATTACTTTTTCAATGATTTTTAAAGCCCACTTAAAATGACCAGAGAAGACTCTGTTCCCAGAGCATCTGGCAGGGTGACTGACCATGGACTTCCAGACACCTGCCCAAGACCCAACAGCCGGTCCACATCGCCGCAGCTGGGATTACCTCGCTCATCAGTCTGTCCCGTGCGCTGCGCTCTCGGGCCCACTCTGCCTCTCTCTTTTCCCACATCTCCTTGGCCTCCTCCCTGGGCAAACACAAAAGGGATGACAGCAGGCTCCTCCCCGCCCTGGCAGGAAGCGAGCTACGGAACAGACAGGGCTGCAGGGCACATGGCTTCTGCAGGACCACACTGCAGATAAACATCCACATGCACTTTGAAAAGATTACAATTAAGGACAGCATCCACGGAAAGTACTGTTGGAAGTTTTTCATTTTTTTTATTTTTGAGATGGGTCTCGCTCTGTTGCCCAGGCTAGAGTGCAGTGGTGCGATCTCGGCTCACTGCAACCTCCACCTCCCAGGTTCAATCGATTCTAGTACCTCAGTCTCCTGAGTAGCTGGGATTACAGGCATGTGCCACCATGTCTGGCCAATTACTGTATTTTTAGTAGAGACAGGGTTTCACCATGTTGGTCAGGCTGGTCTTGAACTCCTGATCTCAAGTGATCTACCTGCTTTGGCCTCCCAAAGTGCTGGGATTACAAGCGTGAGCCACCGTGCCTGGCCCTGTTGGAAGTATTTTAAGTTACCCTTTTAATACCCCATCTCCTTATAAAAAGGAATTGGGATGACTTACACCGTGGCTGTTTAACACAGAGATGAATGAAACCATCAGAACATGGAGAGGAGGGCGCTGCCTGTGCCTGAACCCTGCCACCGCATGCCTGTGTCACTGATAGCTCACCCTGGACGGAGTGACCTCTTCAAGTCTCCGGGTCTCACAAGCCACCACTTGGCTGGATGTCAGGACTCAGTAAGATGAGGCCTGTAAAGCACCCGGCACAGTGTCCAGCATGCAGTAAGTGCTCAATGTATGCTACTTATTATTTGATGATTTCAATCTACTAGTTTAGTCTTTAGGACCCAAACTCAGTTTTATAGATGTAAGCAGCATTCAACATCTCTATAATAACTTCCTTCTGGCTGGGCATAGTGGCTCACGCCTGTAATCCCAGCACTTTGGGAGGCCAACGCTGGCGGATCACAAGGTCAGGAGTTCAAGACCAGCCTGGCCAAGATGGTGAAACCCCATCTCTACTAAAAATACAAAAAGTAGCCGGGTGTGGTGGCGGGCGCCTGTAATCCCAGCTACTCGGGAGGCTGAGGCAGAGAATTACTTGAACCCAGGAGGCAGAGATTGCAGTCAGCCGAGATCATGCCACTGCACTCCAGCCTGGGTGACAGAGCAAGACTCTATCTCAAAAAAAAAAAAATAATTTCCTTCTAAACCTCTAAGATTTCAGATGAACACATCGTTACTCTAAACCTTAATGATTTCCACCTCAGATAATACAAGGGAAACACCCCCAGAGGCCAGGTCCATTATGAAGATGTGCTCCTCAGGAATGATGGACAACATACACAGCTATCTCTTCTTCTTCTTTTTTTTTTTTTTTTTTTTTTGAGACAGAGTCTCGTTCTGTCACCCAGGCTGGAGTGCAGTGGTGTAGTCATGGCTAATCGGAGCCCCAACCTCCTGGGCTCAAGTGATCCTCCCACTTAGCCTCCCGAGTAGTTGGAACTACAGGTATGAACAACCACGCCTGGCCAATTTGTGTATTTTTGGTAGAGCCTGGAGTTTTGCCATGTTGCCCAGGCTGATCTCAAATTCCTAGGCTCAAGCGATCCACCTGCCTCGGCCTCTCAAAGTGCTAGGATTACAGGTGTGAGCCTCCACGCCCAGCCAATAGATATTTCAGTAACAGGTGACCCATGGGGCATTTCAAGGTATCAGAGTTGAGGCCAGGAGCATCCAGCCCAGTCAGCAGCTGCCACTCACCTCAGCAGCATCTGCAGCTCTGCCTCCCGCGCCCGCTCCAGCTGCAGCTGCTCCTCAATGGCCTGCTTCATCCAGGCCACATCGGCCATGACCTGCTCCCGCCTGGCCAGGTGGAGGCGCTGGCTCTCGTCCTCCTTCTCGAGGAGGGCCTGCAGGATCCGCCTGTCTGCCTCCTAGAGGAAGCAGAGGGCGGCACGTGGCTGGGCTGGACAGAGTCCTTCTGCAATGAGAGCCTACAGAGGGGCCTGCCCTCCCTTTCCTTTCTACATAGACATTCGTGATTCTACACAGTGTTCTCAAGACAGAGATGGGAAGATCCTGGATTATTTCTGGAACAGACTGGGGATAATCACGAGGGGTGGTTCAGACACTGCACAGGCCTAGGAGCTTCTCTCTGGCTAAAGGGAGACCCAGCCACCACCACATGCCCTCGGATACACCTGGTTGCACAACTTTTTGGAATACAACTTGGCAAAAATCCCACTTATAAGAACAAAGACCACAGTGACACAAAAGTGCAAAACACTCGTTGCAGCTTTTAGGTAAGAGGGAAAAACCAGAAACAACCAAAATGCTCCTTGGTGGGGAATTAGCTACTATGTACATCAACATAATGGAAGCATTAAAATAATGCAGGAGGCTGGGCACTGGGGCTAATGCATGCAATCCCAGCACTTTGGGAGGCTGAGGTGGGAGGATCACTTGGGCCTAGGAGTTCAAGACCAGCCTGGGCAATGTAGCAAGACCCCATCTCTACAAAGCATTGTGATGTACACCTATGGTCCCAGCTACTCGAGAGGCTGAGGTGGGAGGATGGCTTGAGCCTGGCAGGTTGAGGCTGCAGTGAGCCGTGATTGCGCCATTGCAATCCAGCCTGGACAACAGAGCAAGACCCCATAAAAAACAGCTGCACACCAGGACCAACCATGCCACTGTGCCCCATGTCCTGCCCTGACCGCAGTGGGCAGGGATGGGAAGGGCAGCTTAGGTCTGTCTCCCTCACTTCAAGGGAGCTCATCAAAGTACTTAGGAATACAAAGGAGCTATCTGAAAAGAACAGGTTCAATCTAAGCATAATGACCTTTTTTTGTTTTTTTGAGACAGAGTCTCACTCTGTTGCCCAGGCTTGAGTGCAGTGGTGCAATCTCGGCTCACTGCAACCTCCACCTCCTGGGTTCAAGCAATTCTCCTGTCTCAGCCCCCCGAGTATCTGGGATTACAGGTGTGCACCACCATGCCTGGCTAGTTTTTGTTGTTGTTGTTCTTGTTTTGAGAGAAGTCTCGCTCTTGTCCCCCAGGCTTGAGTGCAACGGCTTGATCTCAGCTTATTGCAACCTCCACCTACCAGGTTCAAATGATTCTTCTGTCTCTGCCTCCCAAGTAGCTGGGATTAAGGCGCCTGCCACCACACCCGGCTAATTTTTGTATTTTTTAGTAGAGACAGGGTTATACCACATTGGCCAGGCTGGTCTCAAACTCCTGACCACAGGTGATCCGCCCGCCTCAGCCTCCCAAAGTGCTGGGATTACAGGTGTGAGCCGCCACGCCCGGCCATGTCCGGCTAGTTTTTGTATTTTTAGTAGAGATGGGGTTTCACCATGTCATTCAGGCTGGCCTCAAACTCCTGACCTCAGGTGATCCGCCTGCCTTGGCCTCTCAAAGTGCTGGGATTATAGGCGGGAGCCACCGCACCTGGCCGATCTTTTTAAAAATTAAGAGATTTAGTGTTAATTGAAGATGCTGAGGAATGCAACCTCAATTAGATTTAAATACAAAAACAAAAACCTCCACCTCTCTGTATGTAAATACATCTAGAAAGATGTGAACTAAACAGGCACCTCTGGGGATAGACAGAGATTGCAGGTGCTGGTCAAGGGGGTGATCTCACTTTGTGTTGTGCTGCTTTTTAAGTAACACAGTTACTGAAAAATAATTTGATGTTTTGATACCTGTATCTATCCATCTATGTATACACACAGACACTGGGAAAGGATCCTTACGGTCAAGCTAATTAACATATCCATCACCTCACAGTTGGTTTTCATGGTGACAACACTTAAGATTGGCTCTCTTAGCAAATTTCAAGAATACAATATGGTATCATCAGCTGTGATCAACATGATGGACACTACTCCCAGATCTCCCAACCGAGGGATGTATCCTTTGACCAACATCTCCCCTTTCCCCCAACCCCTCACTGTCTTCATTCTTACGAGAATGCACTCATATACTAAGCAATGGAAGGCCTTTTTTACAAAAGAGGCTAAGAAAGATGTCAGGCTGTCTCTTCAGACTTACCAGCTCCTCTTGGATCTGCTGTGTGCGTCTGCTGAGTTGAGCGTTATACTGATGTCTCAAGAAACGCCTGAAGGAGAATCAAATGTGGGCTGCCTTCAGTATCTCAGAAAGAATTAAATAGAAGTTAGATAACTGCTGACCAGGCTGTCTCCTTTATGGTTTCAGCAACACGAATGCAAGTCTGAAAAAGCAAGAGGCCCACCCGCCTGGGAAGAGTGGGGGGCCCTTCTGACACACACCCCAGCTCTGCCTTCTGCCGGAAGGCTTCCATCTGCTTTCGCTCTTCCTCCAGCCTCTCTAGCTCCCACCGCTGCTTCAACAGATTCTCCTGCTCCTTCTTTAGTTTGGTCGCCTGTGGTGATGATGAGAGTAAGCTCGACTGAGATCTGAGATCGTGGGAATCAGATCTTCCTTCATTCTCCATCTCCATTTTTCGCAGACACTACACCAACAGAGGCCTGGCCATGCAGGTGGTCACGATCCCCTCCCACCACTCACTTACTCATCCAATCCCCTCTGAGCCATTTCCTGCAAGGGCCTTTCTGAGCCCTGAACTCTAAACTCCCACAGGATCCTGTACTGGTCCACTCTTACTGTAACTTAACAACTGTCCTCCACCTGACACAGCCCCCACCAGGAGGTCAGGACTGTGGGCCTTGGTCAGGCTCTATCTCTAGTTCCCAACCCAGTGCTCAGCACCTAGAATAAGCAGTAGGCACTAAGAATGTAGTTGCTAAATCACGGCCTGGGCAAGGGGAAGTGAGGTCACAGGAGCATGGGCCTCCCTCTTCTAAATAGAAAGATCTCTTTCAAGGAAACTGTGCCATGTTCTCCAAAAACAGCCCCTGGACCAAAAACCCTCAGTTATGCCTCGAGACCCGAAACCTGCTCCCCACGGAGAGCTGGGTGCTAGACCACCCGATTAAATTGTGTCTACTCAGTGCACTGGAAAATCCAGATTCTAAGAAGGTTCTCCAACAGCAGGCCGCTAACCACCTCTAAGAGAACAGCTACTGGCTCCATGTCGTTAATGTTCTGGAATTCAGGCACGCAAACGAGGAGGATGGGAAAGCACAAGGCAGATGGGGATGCATGTGAGAGGGAGAACCCGGCTGCTGCCGCCCTTTGCAGAATCTCAGCCCTGCTATGGCCTCTTCTTAGGGCAGCCTCTCAAGTGCCCATCTCATGCTAACGAGCAGCTGTGGAGGAGGTCACGGCTGAGAGGGGCTTGTGCCCACCTCCACCTCCTTCAGCTTCAGCTCCTCCATCTGTTGCAGCAGTGCCTCGGCCTGGAGCTTGTCCTCCAGCTGCCTCCTCTCCTCTTCAGCTTTCATCCTTTCTAGCGCCTCCCTTCGGGCCCTTTCATATTCATTTTCATACCGTTTGTTCTCTTGCTCTGCGGTGGCTTCTTGCTACAAGGGACCAAATGAACACAGGTCAATATCTGTACCGTAAGCCAACAAAAACCTAGCTTCCTGCCGCCGTTCTGCAGGCCACAGGGCCCAGGCAGTTCCTGCCTGAATCCCAAATGACAACGCCCTCAGACGCCAAGTCAGGGAGGGACTCAATAATGTTGGGTTTCCTCCCCACTCAACAAAACACTTTCTAAAATGAACCAGGCAGCAAAGCGACCAGTGCACAGAGGTGTGGAAGCTTAACCCCAAAGGGGTTACAGTAAGCCAGGGCTGCGAGTTTACGATGCAGATTTCATCAAAAGAGAGACAAAAATGCCCTTAAAGACACACGTCCTAGCTGGACCCTGTGGCCCACGCCTGTAATCCCAGCACTTTGGGAGGCCGAGGTGGGAGAATCGTTTAAGGCCAGGAGGCCAGACCAGCCTGAGCAACAGAGCAAGACCCCATCTCTACAAAAATTAAAAAATTAGCTGGGCGCAGTGGTGCGTACCTGTGGTCCTAGCTACTCGGGAGGCTGAGTTAGGAGGACTGCTTGAGCCCAGCCAGTCGAGGCTGCAGTGAGCTGTGAGTCGCGCCACTGCACACCAGCCTGGGTGACAGAGCAAGACCCTGCCTCCAAAAGAAAAAAAGAAGACGCGTGCTGTATGTGCCACCTCCCAGCCCTGGTCACCTGGCCTTATTCTGCCCTGGGAATTATCACATAGGATTCTGGTATATGTAAGAGCAAACATTCAGTTTTCACATGTGTCAAGTAAACTAAGAAAAGAGTACACTACACTCCTTAACTGGAGTCACTGATGCTGAAAACGGTAAACGAATGCAAAGACGTGAACAGTCTCGCACAGCAGAATACGCGGCTATTCCCAGAGCCACATACCACACCTGTTTTTTTTCTTCTTTCTGCATTTCCCAAGAGTTTACGACATGCTTCTGGTGAAGGTCCAGCTCCATCTGAGGATGGAAGGGGGACGATGTGAATTTCCTCACCAGACAGATGGGCACTGTGGGGACAGTGTGCTCCTGCCCTCTGTGCCACCTGCGGGAACGTGGCCATGACTTCGCTTCATGGGGACTCAGTGGCACAGGCGTCTAGTAGAGAGCGTGGGGTGACTTCAACATGTATAGTGTGAATGCATGTCAATCAGAAGACCAAAGGACCAGGCACTCCTACACCAATCTTTTGAGCTGGTACAAAGTAACAGAGACTTCCCTCCCACTAGCCCTAGGGTTGGGCTGGACGCTGAAATGGAAATACAATTTCAAAGGCCACCTTGGGTTGATGTACTGCATGCCAGGCCCTGGGAGACAGCTGAGTGAGAAGACTCAACCCTGTGCCTGGCTCCCCGAAGTTTCCTCTGCAAAGCAGATGGACTACGTACTCCCTGTATCAAGTGATGCACCAGTAGGTGCAACAAGTTTAGCATTGTTAGTAAGAGATTTGAGCGCAGACAATCTCCTGGATTAGAAAATGGATCACAACATTCAATCCAAATCTTTTGTTTGGGAAACTGTTTATAAAATTAGCTGGATATGGTGGCGCCCACCTGTAGTCTCAGCTACTCGGGAGGCTGAGGTGGGAGGATCACTTGAGCCCAGGTTTGAGACCAGCCTGAGCAACACAGGGAGACCCTGTCTCTATAAAAAAGTTTTAAAATAATCTTTCCCAACTTACAGCTGTGAACATAGGCAATTAACTTGAATGTTCTGAATAAACTTTTCTGATTTAACGGCTCTGGATGATTCCACCGAAGCCAACAGGGCTAAGGAGTCCTCCCACAGATTAGTGCAAACTGCACAAAAGCACCAGATGTTCCATTATTTAGTGCCTGGCGATTTCTAAATGTAACTACGAATAACACGAAGGCACCAAATGTATACAAAAACTGTAAGTTGAAAATAAATGAATAACAGTGAGGGATGATCTCCCTGCAGCCAAATCTCCACTGAACAAGGCCACCAAGCCAAGAGGCCACCCCCTCCCCTGCCAGCCCAGTTCAGGCCTTCACCAACCCCCGGCTGGGCTGTCGCAGCACCCCTCCCTGTCGGCGGGCACATTGCTACCAGAGGAGTCTCTCTGAAATGCAGCTGGGATCCTGTATGCTGCCCCCAGCCCCTTTGGAGGAAGGTCACACAAGCTCTTCCGATGTCTGGCACCCTCTGCCTCGCCAGCGTCATTTCTTGGGGTTCTCCCTCACTATCTGACATCCTAGCCTCACCCAGACACTTTCAGCTCCCAGGGCTCGCTCTGTTCTCGAGTCTCAAGCCTGGTTCTCACAGTCACATCAACCTAGAACATCCTTTCCTCACCTCTACACACATACATCCCTTCAAACTCTTCCACCCCAGGAACTCCTCTGGGAAGCCTCCCCAACCCCTCCAGAGTTGAGTGCGCTGGCCCATGCTCATCCTCTCAGGCTGGCCCAGCACCCTGCATCCTGCCCTGTAATGAGCTCCCATGCTGGACACAAGCTAATGAGCAGAAACCATGTCTAATCTCCATGCCCGCACCTGGCAGACCAGGCAGCGGAGGTTCAATCAACATTTGTTCAACAACCGAATGAGCCGCTCAGCGCAGCCTGTGCCAGATCTTCTGCCTGGCGCTCTTTTCAGGTGGCTCAAGGTTCCCTCCTCTGTTTCAACCCGGTACAAGATACGTGTTCAAAAAAAAAAGTGTCTGGAAACATGATTTCATCTACTTAGATAAATCAATGGAGATCTCTGATTTTCACCTCTCGAAGTTTCGGGTTGTTCTTTTTCCAGTGTTCGTACAAAAGTTGTTCAGCAATCTATCAAGAAAACACAAAATGGAAAGCCTGATGTCATTTTTCAAATCCATTCACATTTTGGATGACACACAGTGGAAGTCAGCTCAGGCTATGAGTGCCTCCCTTCACACCGTCACTGCAACCACTGTTCAAACCCTCATGCTTCACATGCACAGCTCTGAGAACCACATGGCACTACCAAGTGACTCTTGCAATGATGACAAAAGGGGGCCAAAATCTGATGCTACACAGAGGTCCTATCTAGGGGGTCTCAAAATAATACAGCAGGCTGAAAAGCACAGATTAGGGCTCACTGTTTCACATAACTACTTTGGAAGGTAAAACAGACTAGTCCCAGATCTCTGTGGACCCACAGAACTGGAAGAAAGGAAAAGCACTCAGATGTAATGATTGAAGGGGCTAAAGAGACTACAGCTAACTGATCCAAAACCCAGTCCCTGCACAAGGACCTAAGCTCTTTTCCTGCTGGCTCTGGAGTTAACTGGCATCTCATCAGACCTGAGCACCCAGGAATGACCCTACATGTGCGACACACTCAGGCTGGGAACACTCCTGCTCCACAGCCTCCTGAAGCCCTCTGGGGAGTTACCAGTTTCCTCTGCTCTTCTTTGGCTGATTTCAGCTTCCCGTGCTGCTCCCGGATTCTTCTTTCCTGCAAGTTCATGCTCAGCCTCAGCTCCTCCAGTTCTCTGGCCAGCAGGTCCTGCTCCTCCTGCATGAGCTGCCTGAGCTTTTCCCGTCGGGCCTCCAGACTCCTCCTCTTCTCCTCCTTCATCTTCTCCCGCTGATAGGCATGCATGCTGGGTGAGAGGGGGCCTGCCTGAATCAATCATGCTACAGCCACAGGGAACGTGCTCTGCTCTGCTGTGTCGGTAAAAGAGGCTGAGGTAGATGTGTCATGACGACACAGGAATGTGTCCCCAGCCAAAGCAGAGACAGCAGGTCACAGAATAGTATGTGTAAGAGAAAATCTTGTTTTTTGCAAAAAGAAAATGTATAAATGTATAAATAATGTATATATTATCCATCACATAAATCCTACAGCATAGGTCTGCTGTAGCCCCACTTGATTGATGAGGAAACCAAAGCTCATACATTCAGCAAGAGACACGGTCAGGATTTCCATCTAGGTCTGACTTCAAAGCCTATGCTTTTGGCCTCCATGTTTTTACACGTATTTCTATAAAAGTAGCTTTGTGTGTGTATATTTAAGCACAAATACCAGTGGGAAACAGCATGGAAGGATATGTGCCAGACTGTTAACTGTGGCTGTCTCTGGGGATATGGGGTTACAACCAGGCTTCCAAATTCTATCATATGCTTCTGCATCATTTTATCTTTTTCAATGCCAATGTATGGCTGCACTGATGATCTTTTTTTCCATTTCCAGCTGGAAAAACATCACCATGCAGGTAATTCATACTGCCTGGCAAATCCTACGCTCCCTAAATCCTTAAGGCCTCATCCCCTGACCAGCAAGTGGTCCCCACTTCCATCCAATCGGCAGTTACCGCACAATTACCTCCGCTGGTAGGAGGTTTTAGAGCTCCATTCTGCCTGTTTGGAGCTGCAGATGTCAGACATCCTGAAGTAACGGCTGTTCTGCTCCCACTGCTGCCGAAGCCGGGCCTCCTGCTCTCGCTGTCGTGCTAGCTGCTGATTCAGGCGCTGCTGGCTGCACCAGTAGGACGGCAGCGTCGGGAGCGCCATCTGAGAACAGGAATGGGAGGAAAGTGAGCCACTGCAAATCCCAGGAACCCTCACCAGCTTGGCCTCATCCCTTTAACGAGTGGTCACCACCCCTTGGCTGCACAGTGAAATCAACTGGTGGAACTTTAAAACAAACAAACAAACAAAACCGTGTCTGAGCCCCACTCCAAACTAATTCAATCAAAAAACTTAGTAGGGCCCAGGCACCAGCATTTTTTAAAATGATCTGCCACTAGTGCTGCAAATCATCCTTTTAAATTTGCCGTGGCTCACGCCTGTAATCCCAGCACTTTGGGAGGCCAAGGTGGGCAGATCACGAGGTCAGGAGTTCGAGACCAGCTGCGCCAACATAGTGAAACCCCTGTCTCCACTAAAAATACAAAAAATTAGCCAGGCGTGCTGGTGGGCGTCTGTAATCCCAGCTCCTTGGGAGGCTGAGGCAGGAGAGTCACTTGAACCCAGGAGGTGGAGGTTGCAGTGAACCAAGATTGTCCCACTGCACTCCAGCCTAGGCGACAGTGCAAGACTCCATCTCAAAACACAACAAAACAAAACAAATAAACCTTAGCCAGACACAGTGGCTCATGCCTGTAATCCCAACACTTTGGGTGGCTGAGGCAGGAGGATCACTTGAGGCCGGGAGTTGGAGACCAGCCACATCATGAGACTCATCTCTATAAAAAATCAAAAATTAGCCAGGAGTGGTGGTGCGCCTGTAGTCCCAGCTACTCAGGAGGCTGAGGCAGGAGGATTGCTTGAGCCCAGGAGGTCACGGCTGTAGCGAGCCATGATAGCGCCACTGCACTCAGCCTGGGTGACAGTGAGACTCTGTCTCAAAAAAACAAAAACATAAAAAATTCTGGACTGCGTGCACCCAGCTGTGGGCCAGCCATCACCAGGAACACAACAGACAGACACAGGGATTGTCCTAAGATTGCTAGACTAGGCACATCGGGGGCATTTATGCTGTGCTTAAACAGAGACAATAATGTAAGGAACACATGTATGTGCCAAGCACTCAATACATATGACTTTTTTTCATTCTTACAATCACCTCGCTATTTGGCAGGTAAGGAAACTTACGTTGAAGAGGTAAAGTTGTTGTACCCGAGCGAGTTAGAGAAACGCCACAGTTTGAGACGAAATTAAGAGTCCTTTATTTAGCCAGTGCCCAAGAGACGGCTAATAAATTCTCTTGGCCCGAGGAAGGGGCTTGATTTTCCTTTATACTTTGGTTTAGGAAGGGGAGGGGAGCTCAGATGCAACAATTCTACATAAGTAAAAACATGCAAAAATTAAAAGGACAAAGAGTCACAGAGAAACAATTAAAAGACAAATGGTTACAGAGAAACAACAGTTCCAGGTGCAGGGGCTCTAAATCTTTCATAAAATGTTAGATATGGGTGCTCTGCCCGACACCAACTCAAGGTTTTATGGTGTTATCTTTTGAGCAAAATCCTGGGAACTTCGTACATTGCTTGTTTCAGTACCTTATCAGTTAATTGGACTCTTTGATATGTTGAGATTCTGCTTACACAAGTTAACTCCTTGAGGAAAGGGGTGGGTAAGGAGTCCTTGATGTCTTGTAAATGAGGGAACCAGATGGAGTTCATCCGGCTTTCTCAACTAAGGGAGAGCTAATTCATGTGGAAACAAGGCTAGGTGATTAAGGGGAAAAAAAGAGTCTAAAAGCAAGGTTAGTAAAAACAAGGTAAGGCATTAAAAAACAAGGTTAGTAAAAACAACGTTAAGCATTACAAAGTGATTTGCTCAGGATCACAGAGCCAGGAAGTAAAGGAGATAAACAAGCTGGGTTCCTAATTCATGTCCGTCTGAGACCAGAGCCCAGGCTCTCTCTGCTGCAAGGGGCTGCCTGTTGGGACCAACCTGCCCTGGCTCTGGCAGTCCCCGGGGAGGGGACTGATAATAACACTCGGAAGTATGTTGGGCTACCATGGAGGACAGACCTTTCATCTTGCAGATGAAGAAGCTGAGACCTAGAGAGAGGAATTGCCTGAGCAATGTAGGGATACAGCTGGAGCCTTGAAAGCAGAGAGCAGTCTCACTCCAGGCACCAATTCCCCTGACCCAAAAGCTGTCCTCAAGTGTAGGGTCGATGCAGTGCCTGGGTAGGAACGCCGGCTGAATGAGCGAAAAGGCCTGGTGCACGCCAAGAATCTCATTCTGGAGGTCCTCCAGTTTTGGGGGCAAACACTCTGCGTCTATGGTCCAAATGTAGCCGGCAGGCTGCTAACGTGTGACCTCGGTCTCGAGACCGTGGCAAGCTTCACATACTTTTTTCCCGCTCCCGTAAAGCCGCCAGTGGATCAGTCTTTGCACCAAGAGTTAAAAGTTTAAGATTCCCGTCCCGGATTGGCCACCCACAAGGTGGGCTGCTCCCCGAACACGTCGCATCCCTCTCTCGACCTGAACATGCACGTGCAACAAATGGGGTCACAGCGCGTGGGGAGCGCAGTGAGGACCCCGGAGGCGCCCTGAGCTCGCGCCCGCTGACTGCCGCCCCGGTTCCCGCCCGCGCGGGCCGCCTGCGGGCCCCCGCCCTAACGCCGGATCCGGCCTAGTCCAACCCTCCGACTCACATTTCTCTGAGGCTCGGAGTTTCCGAAGAGTCCCCCGGCCCGACTTCCCGCAGGCACGAAGCGGGCCGGCCAGTCCCCCGGTGTAATTCCCAGACGCGCTACAGCAACGCCGGCTGTTTCCTCCCTGTTTGCACCGGCAACGAGCCCGACGACGGAGCGTCGCAAGGGCCAAGCCTCCTTCAGCGCGTAGGGAGCCTGTGTTTTTCTCTGGTGCCCCGTCGTGGCCAGCGGGAGATAAATAGCAAACGTCGCTGCTCCTTGAAATAGGGAAGCATGGAGGCAAAGAATCCGTCCATGCACTACACGTATTTCAGGATGGTGGTTACCATCACGTGAAGGTGAAGGTGGAAACCAGGGGGAAGAGAATGTAAGTCAGTGGTCCTCAAACCTGGCTGCGCGTGAGAATCACCAGATACCAGCCTGGGCAACACAGAGGGACTCCTGTCTCTAAAAAATTTTTTAAACTTAACCGGGCATGGTGGGACTTGTGGTCCCAGCTACTCGGGAGACTGAGGCGGGAGGATCAGTTGAGCCCAGGAGATCGAGGCTGCCGTGAGCCATGACTGTGCCACTGCACTCCAGCCTGGGTGACAGAGCCAGACACTGTCTCAAAAAAAAGAAGAAAAAATCCAGATACCTTTAAAAAATCCAGATGCCCAAACCAAACCCCAAATCCCATCTGAGAGTATCAGTGTTTTCCAAAATTCCCCAGGTGTGTTCAATGTACAACTTGGGCAGAGGCCTGCTGGCATAAGTAGATGGAAGTTATTGGTAACTTTTTTATTTTTTTGAGACAGAGTCTTGCTCTGTCGCCAGGCTGGAGTGCAGTGGCGTGATCTCGATTCACTGCAACCTCCGCCTTACGGGTTCAAGCGATTACCCTGCCTCAGCCTACCGAGTAGCTGAGACTACAGGCGCACGCCACCACGCCCAGCTAATTTTTTGTATTTTAGTAGAGATGGGGTTTCACCATATTGGTCAGGATGGTCTCGATCTCCTGACCTCGTGATGCGCCTGCCTCAGGCTCCCAAAGTGCTAGGATTACAGGAGTGAGCCACTGCACCCGGCCGATAACTTTCTATTATAGTCTTATATTGGTGGTGAGTTCAAAAGTGTTCATTCTATTAGTATGTTTTATAACTCGTGTGCTACAAGTATTACATGCCAACTATTCCATTAAAAAGAAAATGAAGAAAAATACTTGTTTGTTCTCTTTTCTTTCATTTTCCCATTCTTTCATTTCTTCTTCCCTTCATTTCTCCATTCTTTATTCATCTCTGTTTTTCCTGGATGCAGCATCATGGCCTCAGCTGGGTTCAGTGGCTTACGCCTGTAATCCCAGCACTTTGGGAGGCCCAGGAGGGTGGATTACCTGAGGTCAGGAGTTGAAGACCAGCCTGGCCAACATGATGAAACCCCGTCTCTGCTAAAAATACAAAAATTAGCCGGGCATGATGGCAGATGCTTATACTCCCAGCTACTCGGGAGGCTGAGGCAGGAGAATCGCTTGAACCTGGGAGGCAGAGGTTGCAGTGAGCCAAGATTGCGCTGCTGCACTCCAGCCTGGGTGACAAAGTGAGACTCCACCTCCAAATTAAATAAATAAATGAATACATAAATAAATAAATAAAATTAGCAGGCTGTGGTGGTGCACACCTATAGTCCTAGCAACTTGGGAGGCTGAGGTGGGAGGATCACTTGAGCTCAGGACAAGGAGGCTGCAGTGAGCCGTGATCACACCATTGCACTCCAGCCTGAGTGACAGAGTGAGACCCTGTCTCAAAACATGGTCTCTACAGTCAGAACGCCCAGGTTTCAAGCTATACCATGCTGGTGTAGTCTTGGGCAGGTCACTTCATCTGTCTGTGCCTCAGCTTCCTAGTCCATGGAATGAGAGTAAAAATAGAGCAACTTTCAGGCCGGGCCTGGTGGCTCATGCCTGTAATCCCAGCACTTTGGGAGGCCAAGGCTGGCGGATCTCTTGAGGTCAGGAGCTTCAGACCAGCCTGGCCACATGGTGAAACCCCCGTCTCTACTAAAAATATAAAAATTAGCTGGGCGTGGTGGCAGGCACCTGTAGTCCCAGCTACTCGGGAGGCCGAGGCAGGAGAATCGCCTCAACCGAGGAGACGGGGGTTGCAGTGAGCCAAGATCATGCCACTGCACTCTAGCCTGGGCAACAGAGCAAGACTCTGTCTCAAAAAACAAAGCAAAACAAAAAATAGTGCAGCTTTCTAGGGTTGCCCGTGTGAGAATAAATGGAGCATGCCCAGGAGTAGAGCATCCAGTGCATCCCAGGTGAGCCCAAACTTGAGCCTTCCTTCACATCCCCCTTTAGTTGGCACCTGTTTAATCAGGGTCTGTCCCACTGCGTGCATAAGAGTCCTCAAGTTTCCCTCCCATTAATCCCTACCCCCTTGGGCAAATTCATGGCCACTCTTTCATGTTGTGTCCCCAGTGCAGAGGGGTGGCAGCAGCCCACTGCAGTCACTTAGCAGAGATGCCCACCCAACAAAGGAGACCAACACATAAATGTCTGTCGACAGGAACTTCATAAACACATGAATTGGACCAGGCGTGGTGGCTCACGCCTGTAATCCTAGTATTTTGGGAGGCTGAGGCAGGTGGATCATTTGAGGTCAGGAGTTCGATACCAGCCTGGCCAACGTGGCGAAACCTTGTCTCTACTAAAAATACAAAAATTAGCCAGGTGTGGTGGCATGCACTTGTAATCCCAGCTCGGGAGGCTGAGGCATGAGAATCACTTGAACCCAGGTGGCAGAGGTTGCAGTGAGCCGAGATCTGACCGCTGAACTCCAGCCTGGGCAACAGAGGGAGTCCCTGTCTCAAAAAAAAAAAAGAAAGAAAGAAAGAAAAGAAAAGAAAAAGAAATATGTGAGTTGGGGCAAGGTAAGGGAGACCTGATCCTGATTTTGTGCCTCTTGGGCAAGGCCTTTCCACTCTCTGGGCCTCAGTTTCCTCATCTGTATAATGACCAGATAAGCTCCACTAGCAGAACTTTAGGGCTTAGGGCTCGACCAGCATGCCGGAGGGCAACCATTCCTAAGTGGCCTGATCCTGGAAGCCTGAAGTCCCCAGATTACAGCCTCCATTCTCTTTTGCTGGCCAGACATCCTCACCGGCCCCCACAGTTCAACTCTGAACCTCTTGATTACACAGCTGCTGGCTGTCGCTATTAAGCAACTTTACAAGTGCCTTTTCCTTTGCTCCTCTTGGGCATTCTATGAGATATCTTATTGCCCCCATGTTAGAATTGCCTAAACTAAGCCTCGAAAAGGTGGCATGGCTTGCCTGAGGAGCCGCAGCTGATAGGTGGTTGAGCCATGATTTGAAACCAGTTCTGCCTGATCCCAGTGCCTAAGCCCTCTTGCTGCAACACAAGAGCAGGGATCATCGTGTTCCTTGCTGCATTCCCCATGCCATGCCTTGTATGTGGTAAGCACTCTATCTATCTATCTATATATCTATATCTATCTATATATATATTTGAGACAGAGTCTCACTCTATCACCCAGGCTGATGGAGTGCAGTGGTGCGAACTTGGCTCACTGCAGCCTCTGCCTCCCAGGTTCAAGCAATTCTCTTGCCTCAGCCTCTTAAGTAGCTGGGATTACAGGTGCCCGCCACCACGTCCGGCTAATTTTTGTATTTTTTTTCAGTAGAGTTGGGGTTTTGCCATGTTGCCCAGGCTGGTCTTGAACTCCTGACCTCAGGCATCAACCTCCCAAAGCGCTGGGATTACAGGCATGAACCACCATGCCCGGCCTCAATCAATATTTGTGTTGAGAATGAAAAAGTGAATGGATCCCCTATTTTGAGTACTTTCTTCTCCTCCAAAGGAAAAAGGAATCTATGGTGTTAAGAGAAAGCAAAAAGAAGAAAAGGAACGAGCATTTCTTGAACACCTGCTATGTGCCAGGTGCTTTGAGATATATTATCTCATTTAAGCCTCCCTCCAACCTGGGAGGAGTTTGTTCCTGCCCCCATTTTGCAGATGAGGGCGCTGAGGCTCAGAGAGGTGAATCAACTCTCTTGAGGTCACACAGCAAAGACTATAAAAGCCAGGATTTACAACAAACCTCTGAGACTGTGAATCCCTCTTCAGTGTGTTTTTCTGGGAGCTTGTGGCTTGCAAGTGTAGCTCTTAAAAGAGGCCTGCGGCCGGGCACAGTGGCTCACGCCTGTAATGCCAGCACTCTGGGAGGCCAAGGCGGATGGATCACTTGAGGTCAGGAGTTCGAGACCAGCCTGGGCAACATGGTGAAACCCCATCTCCACCAAAAATACAAAAATTAGCCAGGTGTGGTAGTGCGTGCCTGTAGTCCCAGCTACTCAGGAGACTGAAGCAAGAGAATCACTTGAACCTGGGAGGTAGAGGTTGCAGTGAGCCGAAATCATGCCACTGCACTCCAACCTGGGCAACAGAGTGAGACTCCATCTCAAAAAAAAGAGGCCTGCAAATGTGAACATACAAAGAATTTGGCAATATGAAATATTCAATGACAGGTCAATGACTACGGCGTGCAGGGGGCTGAGAGGGAAAGCCCTGGTAGGAACCCGCAGGTTGGAGCTGCTCCAGGACTTGTGATTTTAGGTATCCTAGCATGGGAGAAGAAAACAAGAACAGGGAGAGGGGGTGACACTATGGGAGCCGCTCTCCATTAGATGAAACATGACAGTACTGGAAGCCGCACAATGCCATCATTTAATTAGCAGGTACCGTTGTGAAGGTATGACATTTCAACACCAACCACTCCAGCTTCTTGCTTCACACCCCACCCCACCTGAAGACAAGACCGCAGAAGTAGACAGGTGGGCTCAAAGACCCTGGGGCTACTAGGCTGCTTCTCAGAGCCCCAGCTTTGTGTTTTAAAAAAATAACAATGGGGTCAGGTGAGGTCATTCACACCTGTAATCCCAACACTTTGTTTGGGAGGCCGAGGAGGATCGCTTGAACCCAGGCATTTAAGACCAGCCTGGCAATATAGAGAGACCCCCCACCCCATCTCCACCCAAATTTTTTTTTTTATTAATCGGGTGTGATGGTGCACACCTGTGGTCCCAGCTACCTGGGACGTGGAAGTGGGAGGATTGCCTGAGCCTGGGAAGTCGAGGTTGCAGTGAGCCATCATTGAGCCACTGCACTGCAGCCAGGGTGAGAGAATGAGACACTGTCTCTGAAAAAAAAAAAAAAAAAAAAGTAATTCTTGAACCTTGAACCATACCATTACTTCAGCTGGGGAACTGTAGTGAATTCCTGTAATTTTATGTTGCCTGGGCAACCATTTTGAATATTTTAGACTTTCTCATATAAAAAGCAGGTCTCAGTCAACCCTTGACATAGTCCATTCTCCACCTCCTCCCAGTTCCTCAAGGTGGTCAACCCAGGTATCTGTCTTATGCAACTGCTGACCCCCTCCCTATGGGACAGCTGAAGACAAACTACTCGACTCACCCCCCGACCCCACCCCCTGCCTGGATGGCACAGTCATGCTGCAGTGACCAGTCCTAGTCACAGTGTGACCTCCTGGAACACATGCCCACTAGCTCTAAACCCAACAAGTAGAACTCCCTGAGGGAAACCTGCTAGGGGAATGCCCTGGACTCCAACAAAGTCTTTTTTTTTTTTTTTTTTTTTTTGGGACAGAGTTTCGCTCTTGTTGCCCAGGCTGGAGTGCAATGGCGCGATCTTGGCTCACTGCAACCTCCGCCTCCTGGGTTTAAGCGATTCTCCTGCCTCAGCCTCCCAAATACCTGGGATTACATACATGCGCCACTACGCCCAACTAATTTTGTATTTTTAGTAGAGATGGGGTTTCTCCATGTTGGTCAGGCTGGTATTGAACTTCTGACCTCAGGTGATCTGCCCACCTCGGCCTCCCAAAGTGCTGGGATTACAGCCATGAGCCACTGCACCCGGCCTTTTTTTTCTTTTTTTTTTTTGAGACGGAGTCTTGCTCTGTTGCCCAGGCTGGAGTGCAGTGGCACAATCTTGGTGGCTCACTGCAAGCTCGGCTTCCCGGGTTCACACCATTCTCCTGCCTCAGCCTCCTCAGTAGCTGGGATTACAGGTGCCCACCACCACGCCCGGCTAATTTTTTTGTATTTTTTAGTAGAGATAGGGTTTCACCGTGTTAACCAGGATGGTCTTGAACTCCTGATCTCGTGATCCGCCCGCCTCGGCCTCCCAAAGTGCTGAGATTACATTTTTTTTTTTTTTTAAGACTGAGTCTCACTCTGTTGCCCAGGCTAGAGTACAGTGGTGTAATCTTGGCTCACTGCAACCTCCACCTCGTGGGTTCAAGCGATTCTCCTGCTTCAGCCTCCCTGAGTAGCTGAGATTATAGGCACCTGCCACCATGCCTGGCTAATGTTTGTATTTTTAGTAGAGATGGCATTTCACCATAGTGGCCAGGCTGGTCTTGAACTTCTGACCTCAAGTAATCCACGTGCCTCAACCTCCCAAAGTCCTGGAATTACAGGCATGAGCCACCGTGCCTGGCCTCCAATAAAGTCTTTAGCCCATATTTCTCTCTCTCTCTGTCCCCATTGGTTAAGCACACATGTCCCAAATAGCTTCCCATTTCCATTGGCTATGCAAACCCTGCTCGCTGCTCTCTGGATCTGTGAGTAATAAACTGCTTCTGCTATTTTTGTTGAGTTGCTCCCTCTGTGTTTCACTCGACCAACACACCTGAACTCAATGCTCACCCCTCCCGGTCAGGCTCTCCTAGAGAGTGGCTGTCTTGTTTGGAATAAACTGGATATAGGTGAAACAAGAGCCACAAGGGCATCAGCCGATCTCAACATGTTTCCTGGGAGAAGGACACCTGGTCATGGGTCATGGGACACTTTGGCATTAGGCAAGCCACCAGCATAAAGAAGTATCCTGTGAAAGACACATGATAAACATCCAACTTCCTCCCCAGAGCTAGAGTTCTCTCTGGGGACTGGGCCCAAGAGCAATCCTTGGTGACAAGATGCCCTGCTGGATCTGATGCTCACAATTTTTTTTTTTTTTTTTTGAGAAGGAGTTTCACTCTTGTTGCCCAGGCTGGAGTGCAATGGTGCAGATCTCAGCTTAATGCAGCCTCTGCCTCCCAGGTGCAAGCGATTCTCCTGTCTCAGTCTCCTGAGTAGCTGGGATTACAGGCATGCACCACCACACCCAGTTAATTTTGTATTTTTAGTAGAGACCATGTTTCACCATGTTGGCAAGGCTGGTCTTGAACTCCTGACCTCAGGTGATCCACCCACCTCAGCCTTCCAAAGTGCTGGGATTACAGGCATGAGCCACTGCGCCCGGCCTGATGTTCACAATTTAAGACCACAGGTTCCAGCTTGCTGAAGCTCACCCCACCCAAAGCCCTTGCTTTATAGAGGAGGAAATGGGGGCTCAGAAATGGGGAGTGTGTGCCTAAATGAGGTAAGTGGCAGAGCCAGCGTGATAGTGAAAGCAGCTGGTAGACTCCGTGTGTAGAGGCAGAAACTGAAGCCACAAAGAGGAGGAGACTCAGCCAACACCTGCTTACCAGTTACTGAACCTTGATTGTCCTGTTCCTGGGTGACCACCTTCATCCTCACAGTGTCTCTAGGAGTATGAGTTAGAGTAACCCCACTGAGGCTTAGAGTAGTTGGGCAGAGCACTCTGATGGTCTTTACAGTGCATCAGGGTTCCCATCCCAAATCCCGCACCAATTCCCTTCTGCTGGGGTGTCAGGTATGGGGCACAGTCCACCAAAATGGGGCATCAGGTCAGTCCTGTGTTTTCTGTGACTTTCCTGCCCACAGGCACCCACTGGCCATTCCTGGATGACAGACAACCTCTACTTCCTAAGTCCCAAAGTTCAAGATGACTGGTAGACCACATCAGAGCAGTTCCATCATCTTCTCAGCCTTGAACCTTCCATGGCTCCCCATTTCCCTTGGCATGAAGCCCATACCACTGTGTCCAGCCTGGTCTGGTCCCCTGCTGACATCACTGGCCACACTGGTCATTTCTTTATCTCTCACCACCACCTTTCCTGCTATGCTGTTCCCTCTGTCTGGAAGACCCTTCCCCTCTGCTAACTCCTACTCAGACTTCAGGATCCCAGTGTAAATGTCCCTTCCTTGGAGAAGCCCTCCTGATTCCCTCTGACCAGGTCACTTGGTGTCAGGACATACTGTATTTTTCTTCCATAGCTTTCATTGAAGCATTAAATAAATGATTTTTTTTTGAGATGGTATCTTGCTCTGTTGTCCAGGCTGGAGTGCAATGGCACAATCTCAGGTCACTGCAACCTCCACCTCCTGGGTTCAAGCAATTCTCATGCCTCAGTCTCCTGGGTAGCTGGGACTACAGGCATGCGCCACCACGCCCAGCTAATTTTTGTATTTTCAGTAGAGACAAGGTTTCTACTGAAACCTTGAGTAGAAACTTTGAGACAAGGTTTCTACTTGCTGAGGCAGGTGGATCACCTGAGGTCAGGAGTTGGTAACCAGCTTGGCCAATATGGTGAAACCCCGTCTCTACTAAATATACAGAAATTAGCAGAGCGTGGTTGTGCATGCCTGTAATCCCAGCTACTCAGGAGGCTGAGGCAGGAGAATCATTTGAACCTGAGAGGCAGAGTTTTCAGTGAGCCTAGCCAAGATCTCGCCAGTGCACGCCAGCCTGGGCGACAAGAGCAAAACTTCGTCTCAAAAAAAAAAGCAAATATTGGGGCTGGGCACAGTGGCTTACACCTATAAACCCAGCACTTTGGGAAGCCAAGGCAGGTGGATCACTTGAGGTCAGAAATTCAAGACCATCCTGGCCAACATGGTGAAACCAGTCTCTACTAAAAAAAAAAAACCCAAAAAATTAGCCAGGTATGGTGTTGCGCACCTGTAATCCCAGCTACTTGGGAGGCTGAGGCAGGAGAATTGCTTGAACCTGGGAGGTGGAGGTTGCTGTGAGTGGGGAGATTGTACCACTGCACTACAGCCTGAGCGACAGAGTGAGTGAGACTCTGTCTCAAAAAAAAAAAAAAAGGAAATATTAAGAAAGCCCATTACTATATCTTCTCCTTTAGTTAGAACTGACCATAGCACATTTACTCACTCAACTACACAGCATTAGAAGTACCAATAAAAATAAGCGAAAGTTACAATTTTCCTATAGAGAAGGATGTTTAAACTGTGCTTACTATAAAATTAATTCAGTGAGGAACTTTGGTCTTTAGATTTTGCTTCAAAATTAAACCTAAGTGTTCCCATGGAATCAAAACTGTACAGGTAGTTTACCATAGAGGTACAAATTCCAATGTGATTTGTTTTGTTTTCCGTATTCAAAACATTTTCACCCAGGGAAGTTAATAAGAGAAGAAAGGAACAAATACCCTAGGGGTTCAAAACCATTACCCGGACTCGTTAGCTGCCAGGCAGAGGCTGTGTGCTAATGCCTGTCCTCATTTTTGAATGCTCAGATTCATACATGATTCATTGCCATTAACACCACCAGTCTGTGAGCTCCTTGAGAGAGCTCCATCTTTGACCCCACATTGCCTGGCAAAGCCTGGTCTGAGAGAAAAGTTCCAGTAGTGATTGCGGAACTGAATGGAATGAAAAAGGTCAGCTGAGCACGGTGGCTCGTGCCTGTAATCACAGCACGTTAGGAGGCCGAGACAGGTGGATCACCTGAGGTCAGGAGTTCAACACCAGCCTGGCCAACGTGGTGAAAGCCGGTCTCTACTAAAAATACAAAAATTAGCTGGGCGTCGTGGCATGCACCTGTAGTCCCAGCTACTCGGGAGGCTGAGGTGGGAGAATCGCTCGAACCTGGGAAGCAGAGGTTGCAGTGAGCCGAGGTCACGCCACTGCACTCCAGCCTGGGTGACAGAGTGAGATCCTGTCTCCAAAAAAAAAAAAAAATAGAAAAAAGAAAAAGGTTGGCTTGCTCTCTCTTTCTTTTTGGGACAGGGTCTTGCTCTCTCACCCAGGCTGCAGTGCAGTGGCACAATCATGGCTCACTGCAGCCTCTATCTCCTGGGCTTAAGCAATCCTCCAGCCTCAGCCTCCTGAGTAGCTGGGACCACAGGCACATGCGCCCCCATGCCCAGCTAACTTTTTTTTTTTTTTTTTTGTAGAGATGAGGTCTTTTGTGTTGCACAGGTTGGTTCATTTTCATGTTTCTTCAATTTAATGATAATGGTAGTGTGCTATGACACTGTCTTAGGATTGTGACACAGTCAGGCTTCCTTAGAACAGTTTATCCATGTGAGACTACAAAGGCCAGGCCCTCTCAGCCCCTGAGGCTGCCCCTGTAGATGGAGGACAAGGTGGCATTCTCCCTCTTCTCTGTGCTGTTAAAATGATCAAAATACTATTTTTATCCAGTAACTGAAAAAATGTCCAAAACTTGGCTGTATCCCACTTGGGTGTTTCCTGGGATGACAGCAAGTGGGCCTGTTGGCGGGTGCGCCTTCGCATTAATTAGGGAGAGGCGGCAGACGGGCCCCAAGAAGCAGCAAGGAGAATTGGCATGGTGGCTCTTAACACCCAGAGGAGTTGGCTCAACAAAGCCCATTTGGCACATTTAGTCCTGCTGAAAACCTGGCAGTTGGGGAGGTGACATCACTGGAATCAATTATCCCCACAATTGCCAGTCCTGGGTAGAAATAACTCCGTAAATCGATTCATAATAGCCACACCATTCATCGAGGGCTGCCTGCCTGCCAGCATGCAAACTGCTCTATCTACATTAACCCATTGAAATCTCACATCAGCCCTGACAGGGAGTTAGCATTGCTACTGTCCTAACTTTACAGATGAAACAACAGAGGGAAGATTTACACACACACAGGAGAAGCTCACATGAAGATGGAGGCAGAGGCTGGAGTGAGACAGGAATGCCTAGAGCCACCAGAGGCTGGAAGAGGCAAGAATAGATTTTCTTCCAGAGTCGTCTTTTTTTTTGAGATGGAGTCTCTCTCTGTCACCCAGGCTGGAGTGCAGTGCAGCAGGCTCACTGCAAGCTCTGCCTCCTGGGTTCATGCCATTCTCCTGCCTCAGCTTCCTGAGCAGCTGGGACTACAGGCGCCCGCCACCACGCCCGACTAATTTTTTGTATTTTTAGTAGAGACGGGGTTTCACCGTGTTAGCCAGGATGGTCTCGATCTCCTGACCTCGTGATCTGCCTGCCTCGGCCTCCCAAAGTGCTGGGATTACAGGCATGAGCCACCGCACCCAGCCCAGAGTCGTCTTTTACTTTTAATTTTGTAGAGATGAGGTCTTGCTATGTTGCCCAGGCTGGTTTCAAACTCCTGAGCTCAAGCAATCCTCCCTCCTCATCCTCCGAAAGTCCTGGGATTACAGGTGTGAGATACCATGCCCAGTCTTTTTTTTTTTTTTTTGGTGACAGGACCTTGCTATGTTGCCCAGGCTGGTCTCAAACTCCTCGACTCAAGGAGTCCTCCCACCTCAGCCTCCCAAGTAACTAAGATTACAGGCACGTACCACCGTGCCCAGCTCAGAGCCTTCGGAGAGAGTGTGTTCTAGCCAACACCTTGATTTTGCCCTAGTGATACTAATTTTGGACTTCTGGCTTTTAGAACTGTGAGAGAATACATTTTGATTGTTTTAAATCATCAAGCAGCCACAGGAAACTGACACAGGAAGTGACTTGCTCAAGGCCACACAGCTAGAAAGTAGAAGTGTTGAGTTTTAAACATAGTTAAGTATTCAATAAATGTTAGCTGTCATTATTATTATTACTATGCTGCAATAAAGAAGGTGCGTTTATTGGATAAAATGTCAGCAAGACCACGAACTCAGCCTACTTCACCCATCCCAACAGACACCGCTGGGGGAAAGACGGCCTGTGTAACAAGGATTTGATGATTCAGTTGGGGAAGATGTTATTAACACTGGGTGGAGCTGGTTTAGGAAAATGACGAAACTTTGCAGAGTGAACACCTCACCCACACTGAGTTGATTCCAAACATTACAACTCCATTGGTCAAGCTGGTCCTACAGATTAATTGCAGAGAGGGTTTGCAACTCATGGAGAAGTACAGTGACCCAACAATCCAAAAAGATGAGGTGGCTCCTCTGTGCCTGGTAGTATTTCCCTGACACTACGGGAAGCTAAGGGGAGAAACTGATGGCCCATAGCCAAAGCCAACTTGCTGAAGGTTTCTGTGGCTCTTCCCCTTTTCCTTCCCACCTCTCCCCCGCCCTGTTTTCTCTCTTCCTCGCCCTTCTATTCTTGAACAATTCAATCCAAAAGCCAATAGGTGGGTCCCAGCAAGGTAAATGTCAGTAATGGGGGGCACTGGGGAGGGTACATGCTGGTCCAAAGAGGGGTGTCAGGCTGGGTGCAGTGGCTCACACCTGTAATCCCAGTGCCTGGGGAGGCTGAGGCGGGAGGATTGCTTGAGGCCAAGAGTTCGAGGCCAGCCTAGGCAACATAGTGAGACCCTGTCTTAACAAAAAATTTAAAAATTATCCAGGCATGGTGATGCACGACTGTAGTCCCAGCGACTTGGGAGTCTGAGGCAGGAGGATCGTTGGAGCCCAAGAGGTAGAGGCTGCAGTGAGCTGTGATCATGCCACTGCACTCCAGTCTGGGCAACAGAGTGAGATTCCGTTTCTAAACAACAAAAACAACAAAGGTGGGTGTCAGATCCCAAATGGAATAAGAAAGGTGTCTGCATGGGGAGGGGGTGGCCAGAGCTCAGCAAGTGAGAAGGGCATCCTCATGGAAAGGCAGACTGGCAGGGGCTACAGAAGCGTGAGCATGGCATGAGGGGCATCCTTGCTGGGGAGGGAGTGGCAGCAATGATAGGAAGTTGTAACCTATGGGGGATTGATCAAATGAGGAAAAAACAAGGAGAACACCAGGTTTCTCACTGCAGGAGAAGGGAACTACAAACAAGAAAAGGGAGAAAAGTAGAATTAACCCCATAGAGACAAATTAGAATTGGATCTATCAGGGTGAAATACCATGGTTTTTTTTTTTGTTTTTTTTTTTTTGAGACAGAGCCTTGCTCTGGAGTGCAGTGGTGCGATCTCGGCTCACTGCAACCTCTGCCTCCTGTGTTCAAGCGATTCTCCTGCCTCAGCCTCCCGAGTAGCTGGGATTACAGGCTTGCACCACCACACCCAGCTAATTTTTGTATTTTTAGTAGAGACAGAGTTTCACCATGTTGGCCAGGATGGTCTTGATCTCTTGACCTGGTGATCCACCCACCTTGGCCTCCCAAAGTGCTGGGATTACAGTCTTGAGCTGCTGCACCCAGCCAAAACTATGGTTTTCAATACGGATAGAAGACTATAGGAACAAATATAGATAAACATAGACATGAATGTGTATGTGTGCATATAAAACTGAGTGAATCTAGGAGAAGGGACACCCCGATAACAATAAGCACATCTAGGCCGGGCGCAGTGGCTCACGCCTGTAATCCCAACACTTTGGGAGGCTGAGGCTGGTGGAGCACGAGGTCAGGAGTTCGAGACCAGCCTGACCAACATGGTGAAACCCCATCTCTACTAAAAATACAAAAATTAGCCGGGCGTGGCGGTGCACACCTATAATCCCAGCTACTCAGGAGGCTGAGGCAGGAAAATTGCTTGAACCCGGGAGGTGGAGGGTGCAGTGAGCCAAGATTATGCCATTGCACTCCAGCCTGGGCAACAAAGCAAGACTCTGTCTCAAAACAAAAAACAAAAAACAAACAAAAAAATCTCCCAAAAAACAAAAAGCACATCTAGATCTTGGTTTCGAAATGCCATTGCCCACCGAAAAGAACCAGGGCTTTTTGGAGAAATGGCTGGTTTGGAGACCAGGGCAGGGAAAGTACAAGATAAGCTTGGAATATCTTGTGCTAGAGAGTAAGGAAGGACTTAATGATGGGGACATGACAGAAACACACAGAAGCTAGCTTGGAGGGGCTTTCACTGGCCAAATCTTGGACAATTTGAGCCACTAAATAAATAATAATAGGCCGGGCATGGTGGCTTACGCCTGTAATCCCAGCACTTTGGGAGGCTGAGGTGGGTCGATCACCTGAGGTCAGGAGTTCGAGACCAGCCTGGCCAACATGGTGAAACCCTGTTTCTACTAAAAATACAAAAATTAGCTGGGCGTGGTGGCAGACGACTGTAATCCCAGCTACTCAAGAGGCTGAGGCAGAAGAATCGATTGAACCTGGGAGGTAGAGGTTTTAGTGAGCCGAGATCGCACCATTGCACTCCAGCCTGGGCGACAGAGCAAGACTCTGTCTAAAAATGAATGAATAAATAAATAGTAATGGATTGTAACCCATGGAATCACAAGTCCCCACTGATGTAAATAAATAAATGGAAGGTTTTATGAGTGATGAGATATTTACTTTACCTAGTGCCTCCCTGTGAAGTATTTGTTAATTTCAAAGAGGAAGAGAATAGCTTTACAGTGGAGAAGAGTGAAGACACCTTATTCAAATGATCAAAGTTAAGACCTGCAATAATAGGCACACACCTGTAGTCCCAGTTACTCAGGAGGCTGAGGTGGGAAGATTTCTTGAGCTCAGGAGTTCAAGGCCGCAGTGAGCTATGATTGCACCACTGCATTCCAGCCTGAGTAACAGAGCAAGACTGTGCCTCTTAAAAAAAAAAAAAGGCGGGGTGCGGTGTCTCACGCTTGTAATCACAGTACTTTGCGAGGCCGAGGAGGGCGGATCAGGAAGTCAGGAGATCAAGACCATCCTGGCTAACACGGTGAAACCCTGTCTCTACTAAAAATACAAAAAATTAGCTGGGCGTGATGGTGAGCGCCTGTAGTCCAGCTATACGGGAGGCTGAGGCAGGAGAATGGCGCGAACCTGGAAGGCGGAGCTTGCAGTGAGCCGAGATTGTGCCACTGCACTCCAGCCTGGGCGACAGAGCGAGACTCCGTCTCAAAAAAAAAAAAAAAAAAAAAACCATCAGATTTTCAATAATAGGACAAATAAAAATCACTGTGTCATCTGTTATGATACAATGAGAAGGATAGAGCATCACTTCTGTGATAGTTTGTGACACACAAAATCTATAGCTGCTTCTAGTATTAAGATGTACAACTTGAATCCAATCATGAAGAAACATCAGACAAAACCAAAATGAGGGATATTCTACAAAGTTACTGTCCTGGGGCTGGGCTCGGTGGCTTACGCCTGTAATCCCAGCACTCTGGGAGGCCGAGGCGGGAGGATCACCTCAGGTCAGGAGTTCGAGACCAGCCTGGCCAACATGGTGAAAACCCATCTCTACCAAAAATATAAAAAGTTAACAGGGTGTGGTGGCAGGTGCCTGTAATCCCAGCTACCCGGGAGGCTGAGGCAGGAGAATCGCTTGAATCCAGGAGGCGGAGGTTGCAGTGAGCCAAGATCGTAGCACTGCACTCCAGCCTAGGCGACAGAGTGAGACTCCGTCTCAAAAAACAAAAACAAAAACAAAGGACATTACTGGGACAAATGGCAAACCTTGAATAAGGTCTGAGGATTAGGTGGTAGCCGTACATCAGGGTGAATTTCCTGCATGGATGGATGTACTGTGATTCTGCAGGAGAGCGTCCTTGTTTGGAGGAAATACACATTCAGGTGTTTAGGGTGATTGGGCATTGTTTCAGCAACTTATGCTCAGATGGTTCAGGAAGGAAACCTTGTGACTGTAGTTGTAACTTTTGTGTGAGTTTGAGATTGTGTCAAAGAAAAAAAAGAAAAAATGCTTTGTGTGGCTGACATCTTGTTCTTAACAAATTCAAGTTAGTTGCCAACATTTAAAAATCAAGCAATTTTTACCTACGGATCTAGTTTTCTGGTTTCCCTTGAAGAACTGGAAAAGCTAGCAGCTCTGGGGGATGAGTAGTCAGGTGAAGAGCCTGATAGTTCCATTTATTTGTTTATTTATTTTTTAATTTTAAGAGATGGATTCGGCCGGGTGCAGTGGCTCATGCTTGAAATCCCAGCACTTTGAGAGGCTGAGGCAGGTGGATCATGAGGTCAGGAGATCCAGACCACCCTGGCTAACACGGTGAAATCCTGTCTCTAC